>NC_000018.10:10910149-11210199 GCF_000001405.40 Homo sapiens | reverse complement strand
TAGGATTTAAAATATTTCCTCCTAGGCTGTGGGTTGTCTCTTCATTTTTGCTTTTAATGAATTAAATTTATCAACTTCTTTTTTTTTTTTTTTTTTGAGATGGAGTCTGGCTCTGTCATCTAGGCTGGAGTGCAGTGGCACGATCTTGGCTCACTGCAAGCTACACCTCCTGGGTTCACGCCATTCTCCTGCCTCAGCCTCCTGAGTAGCTGGGACTACAAGTGCCCGCCACCATGCCCGGCTAATTTTTTGTATTTTTAGTAGAGATGGGGTTTCACCGTGTTAACCAGGATGGTCTCAATCTCCTGACCTCGTGATCCACCTGCCTTGGCCTCCCAAAGTGCTGGGATTACAGGCGTGAGCCACCGCGCCTGGCCCAATTTATCAACTTCTTTATGGATTTTGTTTTGGCATCATGTCTAAGAAATATTTGCCTAAACAAGTCAGATTTTCCTCTTGTTTTCTTCTAAAAGTTTTATAAATTTAGATTCTGTATGTAGGTCTTAGATTCATTTGAATTAATTTTGGCAAGTGGTATGAGCTATTAATTGAACTTTACATTTTTTAGCTTAAGGATATTTATTATGCCAGTTATTTTGGCATCATTTATTTAAAATGACTATCCTTTCTCTACTGAATTGTCTTTGCACCTTCGTCAAAAATTACTTGTCTATAAATAAGTGGTCTATTTCTGGACTTTCTACTTACTTTGCACATTTAAATTGCTGAAACAATACTACTTTACTGTCTTGAAAACTGTAGCTTTATAATAAGTTGTGTCAGGTAGTGTTATTACTCTGATTTTTTTCTACTTTGATGTTGTTTTAGCCATTCTAAGTACATTGCAATTCCACATGAATTTTGAAATCAGCTGCTCAATTTAAAAAAAAAATGCTTGCTGTAACTTTGAAATTTCATTGAAGCTATAGGTAAATTTGGGGAGAAGTAACATCTTACTAATATTAATTCAGTATTCTTACCCATGAACATGGTATGTCTCTGCATTTATTCTTGTACTTACGCCTTTAATTTCTTTGTTGTTGTTGTTGTTGGAGACAGAGTCTTGCTCTGTCACCCAGGCTGGAGTGCAGTGGCGTGATCTCAGTTCACTGCAAACTCCGTAGGCCTTTAATTTCTATCAGCTATATTTCCTAAGGTAGAGTGAACAGGTCTTGCACAGCTTTTGTAAGATTTATCCCTAAGTTTTATTGAATTTAATTTTTAAATGTATATTTATAATATCTAGAAATACAATTGAATTTTGTATACTGATTTTGGGTCCTGCCATGTTGCTAAACACATATATTAGTTCCAGAATTTTTTTTTTTTTTTTTTTTTCTTGAGACGGAATCTCGCTCTGTCACCCAGGGTGGAGTGCAGTGGCGCGGTCTCGGCTCACTGCAGGCTCCGCCTCCAGGGTTCACGCCACTCTCCTGCCTCAGCCTCCTGAATAGCTGTGACTACAGGCGCCCGCCACCACGCCCGGCTAATTTTTTGTATTTTTAGCGGAGACGGGGTTTCACGTGTTAGCCAGGATGGTTTTGTATGTTTTATCAGATTTTCTAAACAGGTGTTCATGTTGTCCAAAAATACTTTTGAATTTTCCCATCCCAAACTTGATGACTTTTATATCTTTTTCTTGCCTGTTTTCACTGGGTAGAATCTCCAATACAATGTTGAATAAAAGTGTTGAGAGCAGATATGCTTCGGGGGAAAGCATTCAGCCTTTTACTGTTGTATCTGATATTAGCTCTAGGTTTGTCATAGATTTCGTTTTCAGATCGAGACGGTTCTCTTTAATTTCTAGTTTGCTGAGCACTTTTATCAGGAATGGATGTAAGGCTTTTTCCAAGTACTTTTTCTGCACATATTAAGTGAATAATGTGGCTTATCTTTTTTTAGTTTGTTGGTATGGGAAATCACATTGCTGGATTTTCAAATGTTGGACCAATTGTAGAATCCTGGGACAAACCCCATTTGGTTGTGTTGTATTATCATTTTGTATAATTTAAGTGGATTTGCTGGCACTTTGTTTACAATTTTTACATGTTCTATGTTCCTGAGGGATATTGGTCTATATTTCACCTTCTTTTGTAATGTATTTGTTTTGTTTTCATATCAGAGAGTAATGCTGGCTTCATATAAACAGCTGGGAAGTATTCCTTCCTTTTCCATTTTTTAGAGTGTTTCTGTAGAATTAAATCATTAAATTTTTATTTTTTATTTTAATTATTTTTATAGAGACAGGGTCTTGCTCTGTTGCCCAAGCTGGAGTGCAGTGGCACACTCAAAGCTCACTGCAGCCTTGAACTTCCGGGCTCAAGCAATCCTCCTGCCTCAGCCTCTTGAGTAGTTGGGAGCACAGGTATGCATCATCACATCCAGTTGATAAGTTTTTTAATAGTTCATAGAATTCACTAGTGAATACATCAGTCCTATGTATTTCATTGTGGGAATGTTTTCAACCCAAGTGCTTTATATATGTAGGGATATTTACATTATCTATTTCTTCTTGAGTGAGCTTTGGGAAGAGAGCAAATAATTTGTCCATTTCATATATTTTTCAAATCTATTAGCATAAATTTGTCCATAATATTTCTTAACTATTCTTTTTAATATCTATAAAATCTGTAGTGATGACATCTCTCTAATTCCAGATATTGAGAATTGGATCTCTTCTCTTGAGGTGTAGGTTTATCAGAATTTTTAATATTCTCACCATATCAGCTTTTAATTTTATTATTTTTTCTATGTTTTTGTTTTCTATTTTATTTATTTATGCTTTGTGCTTTATCTATATTAGTTTTCTATTGCTGCAAGCCAAATTGCTACAAACTTACTAGCTTAAAACAACATAAATTTATTATTTAAATTAAATTATTTAAGAAACGTATTATTTATTATTATTTTTTCATGGGTCAGAAGCCTGGGCATGGATCCTTGTATAAGGATCTCACTAGGCTGAAATCGAGGTGTCAGTTGGGCTGTGAGCTCATCTGAAGCTTAGGTCCAAGCTCACAAATTCAGAAATAAAAATAAGAATTCAGTTTCTTACAGCTGTAGTTCCCATATTCTCGCAGGCTGTTGGCCTGGGATCACTCAGCTCCTACGTGACACGTGTCTTCATTACAGTTCACAACATGGCTTTGCTATCTTCTTCAGGCCAGCAAAAACCTGTTTGTGATGCTTCACCTGTTTTTAAAAGCTCACCTAATTAGGTCAGTTCCATGCAGGATAATCTTGTTCCTTTTGATTAACATATAGTCAATTGACTCAAAACCTAATATCATATGCAGAATTCCTTTTGCCATATAAAGTAGCATAATCCTAGAAATGATAGCCTATCATATTCATAGATCCTGCCCACATTTAAGAGGAAAGTTTTCTACAGGGCATTTATACCAAGGGGCAAGAATTCTGGAAGCCATCTTAAATTCTGCCTACCACGTTATCATTTCCTTTCTTTTATTATTTTTGATTTAATTTGATTTTCTTAAAGCAGAAGTTGAAATCATTCATTTGAGACCTTTGTTCTTTCCAAAACAGCACTATAAATTTCCCCCATGTACTGCTCCCACATTCCACAAATTTTGATATCTTATATTTTCATCGAGTTCAAAATATTTTCCAATTATTCCTTTGATTTCTTCTTTAACCTATTATTTATAATTGTGTTACTTAGTTTCCAAATACTTTGGGATTTTCCAGAGACCATTCAGTTATTGATTCAATTCCATTACGGTCACAGAACATACTTTGTATGACTTGGATCTGTTGGTTTTAATTTACTGAGACTTGTTTTGTGACTCAAAACGTCATTTATCTTGGTAAATGTTTTAATGTTCTTGTGCACTTGAAAAGAATTCAGCTATTTGGCTGTTGTTGGATGAAGTGTTCTAGAAATGTCAATTAAGTCAGGTTGATTGATGGTGTTGTTTATATCATCTATATGCAAAATGGTTTTCTGTCCATCTGTTCCATCACTTATTGAGAGTGGGTACAGATATCACCACTTATAATTGTGGATTTGTCTATTTCTCCTTACAGGTCTGAGTTATTGCTTCCTTTATTTCGAGGCTCTGCTCTTTGGTATATAAACATTAAGGAGTGTTATATCCTTCAGATGAATTGGTCTTTTGGTTTTAATTCAATATTTGATATAAAACAGACCCCTTTGCCTCATTCCTGATAGTTTTCGGCATCCCACCACGTGGCTACTCTTTCTCACGATTACGGCCATCTGTGTGCTGGCAATGGCAGTAGTTGCATGAGAGCAGAGAGAGGAACTGGGAGAACAGACACCTTAGATGCCAGGACTACCAGGTATGATCTCCCCTGAGAGGTCACCTGTGATACAAAAGCTTAGCACTTTTATCACAAATCTCTAGTGTATGTAGGAAGAAAGAAAAATAGCATTTATTGAGCACCTACCCTGCTCCAGGCACAGCAGTTTTACTCGCATTACTACTCCCCTTACTAATAATGATATGATTTGTTAATCTCACCATTTGCCCGGCCACTGTGCTAAGCACTTTTTTTTAGATGGAGTCTCACTCTGTTGCCCAGGCTGGAGTGCAGTGGCACAATCTCAGCTCACTGCAACCCCCACCTCCCGGGTTCAAGCTATTCTCCTGCTTCAGCCTCCCAAGTAGCTGGGGCCTACAGGCGCTCACCACCATGCCCAGCTAATTTTTCTATTTTTAGTTCAGACAGGGCTTCACCATGTTGGCCAGGCTGGTCTCGAACTCCGAACCTCAAGTGATCCACCTGCCTCAGCCTCCCAAAGTGCTGCGATTACAGGCATGAGCCACTGCATCCCGCCAACACCTTTTATAGATAGTCCCCTGTAGTCTTTATGGCAGTTATGTGAAATATATCTTAATTAGCTTCATTTTACAAAAGAAAAACAAGTTCAAGGCTCATTGAATTTAATGAATTAGTCAAAGACCATTTAGTTTATAAGTCAGATTTACACACATGAGTGGTTGGCAGAATCCTAAAGACGCCCCTTCAAATTCCCCTCCCCTGTTCATTCTATCAAACATAATCTCATACTGCTGTGGAGATGTTTTGCAGGTGCAAATAATATTACTGAATACAGTAGCTGGCTTGAAGGGAAGGGAGTGTATGTTGGACATATTCAGGTGGGCCGATTGCAATGAATCCTTAAGAGCAGAAGAGGAAGGCAGACGAGTCTGCCAGAGAAAGGTAGCAGAGGGAGGTCAGATAAGTTCGAAGGGTGAGAAGAGGAGCAAGCCAAGGAGTAGGTGGCCTCTGAAAGCTGCGAATGAATCTCAGTTGACAGCCAGCAAGAAAACGGGGACCTCAATTGTAGGACAACATAAAACTGAATTCTGCCAACAATCTGAATGGCTTGGAAGCAGGTTCGCCCCCAGAGCCTACAGTTAAGGAGCACAGTCCTGTGGATACCTTGATTTTGGCTTTGTGAACCTCAGAGCAGAGGAGCAGCTGGGCAGAGCTGTGACATACGCTGACTGTGAGATCGTAAGTGGGTGCTGCTTTCAGCCACTTCTCTGGTGGTATCTGTTAGGACGGCAATAGACAGGGAACATGCAGTGTCTGCGTCTCTCCAAAGTCCATGCCTCTCCAGAGATGAAAAAAATAAGTGTCAGAAAATTAACTTGAGTTATTCAAGAATAAAATATATTTTATGTCAGCCCTACTGATGTCAGAAGGCTCAATTTAGACAATACTCAACAGTATTTAAAGAAATATTGATGTGCTCTCTAAATGTGTACTTTTAACCAACTCTAAATTCAAGAGAGCTTTAGTGCTTTTTATTCATTAACATACAGAAATGAACATGAGAAGTTTGTTTACACTCACTTTATCTGGGAAAAACAGATCTAAACAAAGAATTTGAGTGTGATAAAGAGAGCAGAGGAACAGTCTCCCCACACCCATGTTCTGACTTCAATTCACTTTGCATTTATCATAATCTGTGGTTAGAAGCATGGCAGTGAGTAAAAATGCCAGATGGGCAAAAACTGATTCCCTCTTCATTCCTGTCTCCCAGTGAACAACTCCAGACGGCCTCACCTGTCCACACTCACACCTCGTGTGCTCTGGTTGGACCCAGTCACCACAGCTGTGGACCAGGCAGGGACATGCCAGTGTAGACTGCCGAAGAAGGAAAAGTTAAATTCAAAGTTTTTAGAGAAAAGATCTGTCCCTTAAGTCTGGGCTTAGATATAGCTTCTAGGTGCACTCCACAGGACAAATGACATGTGCTTGAGAACTGCAAAAGGATGGTGGTTTTGAATCTTACTTAGCTCAGCCCCTTACTGGCTGTATAGTTTCGAGAATTATTCTATCTTCTTTTGGTTGCATTTCCTAATCTATAAAATGCACGTAATAACAACTATAAAAGTAAAAACCTGTTCTTGATAGCTAACATGTATGCAGGGCCTGCTATGGCCCAGGCAGCCACGATGTCAGGTGGCTACACTTGAGATAAACGCCCTCATCTCCCCTCATTCCTGCCTGCTCCTCCAATTCTGCAGCCCAGGCTCCCACCGCTTTTCCTCACTCGGTGCTCATGCCATCATGCACAGAATGAGCCACAGAACATGTTTCCCTGCCTGGGTGTAGGGCTGGACACGCAAGACTGGCAATTGTGAAAGGACTGGCAAAGGGTAGTAAATGAGTACAAAACACTCAGCTAGTGTTCTTACATGCAAGCTGCAGAACCCACTTCATCAGTTAAAGCTGCAAGTGAATTCACTGACGAGTCTTTCTGTGATGGCCAGAGCTGAGGGCCTAGAGGCACCACAGCCAGGGACCTGCTCTGGACATGGCTGCACAGCACAGACCTGATGCTCACAATACCTGTATTGGGCAATAAAGCCAGAAACTCCACTGCCACAGCCCCCCAAACTCTGGCTGCCGCTGCCACCGCTGTCATCAGAAACAGATGCTGCAGGCTCCCTCATGGCCCTGTGTTTTGCTTTGAGGTCTCTTGCTGGGGCTTTCAGTTGAGGTGCCTACACCACACGCTGGCCCAGATCGGGAGGGAATGCAAGGAGGTGAGTCGCTGGCCCTGTCTTGGAGATGTGGGACTTGTAAGGTAAGAAATTCCTGAAATGTCAGATGATGGTTCAAAGAATAGTGGGAAACTTTATCACATGAAACATGTTCTCTAATTTAATAACATAAACATCTGCACATGCATTTGGTGTACTATGGAAAGGAGGCAGTTCCATGCTGAACATTTGTGTCAGGGGAAGAAGAAAATACACGATAGAGTAGATTTCATCAAGAAAAATAGGATCCTTTGCCCCTGCTGAGGCTGGGGTAGCAAGCATGCAAGCTGATGTTTCTATAGTGGGGTGAGATTGTGAGCATGTACAAAGCCACTTATTTCTTGCCTGGTATAGATGAACAATGCCGGCAGTTGGCACGCTGTTCGGAAAGTGAGGCCACAGTGATGCCTTCATCCTCCAAACAGCCAGGCTTCTGGCAGGACTTGCAATTTCAGAAAGAGCTCTTCAAATATTCAGTATAAACAAAAATAAAAATGATAGTATTTCTCATGTATTTGCAGCTATATCTTCTATTTTACCCATGCTTGTTATTTCTTTTACTTTGATTTTAACATACATTTTCCACTATTCCTCTTCACAGCTTGTGAAAGTCTATGTTTCTAGGCTCTTAGGTACCTTATTAGTGCACTGCTGATAGTTCTAACAGCTCCAGAAAAAAGTAACTTTATATTTTACTTTTATAAGAGTCCAAGCATCATTGCATTACCTCTCTCCTTTCACTAGCTCTTTGCCTCTACTTCCCTTCCATCAGAAAGAACAGAGAAAGAACGGTCAAGTTAGGCATGGTAAACATGGTGATTTTTTTTCTTCCAATTAGGAGATTTTCCTGTGGTAGGCTTGCCTCCTCTACCCATTTCAGTTTTTAATATTTAAGCTACAATTTATAGAAGCCATTATCATCATTTGTTTTCTACAAGCCTCCAGCTCTTCATAAACTTGCATATAATTTTTAAGGTAAGTGCAACTTACAAAGAAATGAGCTTTCAAGTCATGGAGAGACGTGGGGGAGTCGTCAATGCATATTAGGGAGTGAAAGATGCCAGTCTGAAAAGGCTGCATATTCAACTCTATGACATTTTGGAAAAGGAAAAACCATGGAGACAGTAAAAAGTTCAGTGGTGGCCGGGCGCGGTGGCTCACGCCTGTAATCCCAGCACTTTGGGAGGCCAAGGCAGTGGATCACCTGAGGTCAGAAGTTTGAGACCAGCCTGACCAACATGGTGAAACCCCTTCTCTACTAAAAATACAAAAAATTAGCCGGGCGTGGTGGCAGATGCCTGTAATCCCAGCTACTCAGAAGTCTGGGAGAGGAGAATCACTTGAACCTGGGAGGCGGAGGTTGCAGTGAGCCGCCGAGATCATGCCATTGTACTCCAGCCTGGGCAACAAGAGAGAGACTCCATCTCAAAAAATAAAATAAAATAAAAATAAAAATAAAAATAAAAAAGTTCAGTAGTTACCAGGGGCTGGGGGTAGGAGGGAGGGATGAATAGGTGAAGCACAGAAGATTTTTTAGGACAGTGAAACTATTTTGCATGATACCATAATGGTGGATGCATGTCATTATACATTTGTCCAAACCCATAGAGAAGTTACAACACCAGGAGTGAACCCTCATGCAAACTGAGTGATGAAGTGAATGTAAGCTCATCAATTGTAACAAATGCACCATGCTGGTGGGGGTACTGATAATGGGGGAGGCTGCGCATGGGTGGAGGCCGGAGGTATATGCAAGCTCTATACTATCCTCTCGATTTCACAGTGAACCTAAAACTATGTTAAAAATAAGAATTTTGAGAAGTATTTTATACTCCTATTAAATGAACCTTAAAATATACACATAGTAATTTCTTCACAATGTTAATGTGTTGACTCACATCAGTTTTAATAAAAGATATTCTCAGTTTGTCAAAGGCTCATGTTAAGCTTTTGACAACACATTTGAAGTTTTCTGAAGGACTTTAAAGACAAAACACCATAGATTTGCCAGGCAGCACCTCTACTTCCTATTCATTAACGTTTACTCACCCTATCTTCCAAATCTGAAGATCTTCTTAGATGACTAGCTAACAATGTAATTATACCACAATCATATTGTTTCATGGAACATCAGTATCTTAATCTAAAATAATAATCGTAATAAAAAGCTCAGGGACGATTTTGGAGCCCTCAGTCTTTCAATAGAAATACTTTCAGCAGAAAGGTGCCTACGGATTGAGCCAGTCCTGTTACTTGGCCTGAGATGCTTTTTCTCAATCAGTTACAGACCACTTGGAAAGGAACGGAACTGTAGGGCTCAGTGTGTTCTGGGTGGGACAGCCAGGATTTTCCAGCAGGTCATAAAAAAGGGACACGGGTATAAAAACACATACACACAGAGACACACATGCAGTGCAAATGTTGGCTTTCAAATGACTTCTCTTTTATTTCTCATTTGAAATAATTAAATAAATTAGATTTTCATATAAATATGTTCTCTTAATTGAGCTTATTATTAGCTAAATGCTAATTTAAAATAATTTTGAAGAAGATACATATTTTCCCAATTAAAAGGCATCCCCTCCTTCCCATCCCACCAGACTTATGAGTGCCATAATACATAAGACCTTGGGGCCTGGCAATAGCCAGCAGCTGGAAGTCAAACTTCTGGCAAGGTGCATGTCTGGATGTTAAAGTTACAGCAGCAATATCGAGCCCCCTGGTCTGGATGTCTTTTGTTTAGACTCTCTTTGTTTGTTTCTTGTTCCTTTTGCCTCTGGACAAAAAGAAAGAAAACTCTACCTGAGAATTGCTTAGTTGGCATTTGGCAATAGTCTCCAATCTCAAAAAAAAAAAGAAATATATATATATATATATATATATATATATATATATATATATATATTGACTCTTATAACTCTAACCTAATGAAATGTACAATGACTAAACGCTAATAAGAAAAAGGCAGTAGGAATGAGATTTGGCTGCAAAGAAAGATAGAACATATCTCTTTTCACTTCACCGCACTTCATAACTATGCCAAATAGCATACATGAGGCTGAGAAGACATTTGGGATGGAGTGACGGAGGCGGGAAGTCTCTTCTACTCCAACGAGAACCAAGTACATTAACAGAGTGTAATCGGATTCAGTTTTCCTAAGCCAGTGACTGTCAAGGTAGGATTCAAAGTGTGGACTCAGGGTTTCTGTAAATTTGCCAACAGATTCATGAGGTCAAAACTACTTTCATAATAGAACTAAAATGCTAATTATCTTTTCACCATGTTGACATTTGTCTTGAAAGGGTGAGAAAAAATGCTGACATCTGAGCAAGAATCAAACAAGTGGCAAAAAACATTCCAGCCATTATGATAAGATTGATTGCCACACAATCACAGTTAAAAAAAGAATGTCAGCTTCACTTAAGAATGCCATTGATGAAACAGTGTTGATTACACAGTGGCCCGTTACTGTCTTCTTAACATTGTGTGGAGAAATGGTGTCTGCTGCATGCTCAAGTAGGATGGACAAGTGCCCTGTGCAGCTCCTGCAATCACGTCAGTTGCAATAAACACAAGTGTTACTGAAATAACGACTGACAAGCTTCTGTTATTCAGACAGGTTTTGGCCAAAAATTTCCTCACAAAACTGAAGAGAATCTGTTGCTTTCAAAAAAAAAAAAAACAATGGATGGTATTTGTTGCTGACGATAAAAGTTTCAAGTGAATATTAGAATTTCTGAAAACTTACAACCATCATGATGTGCCTGACAACGTCCCAGTTTTAAAGAATTTATGATAAGATTTGTAGTGAAAATAACAATTGTAAATTTCTTTATACAATGTAATGAAATGTATTAACATTTATAAAATCAGCATAAAGCTTTGAATGGATATTTCCCAAATGATAAATGTGTCATGTAACACAATCATGCTGAGATACATGATTCATTCCAAGTGAAAGATAGACCAATGAATTTCATGTAACAAAAATATTTCATTGATTTGGATACAGACTCCTCATTGCAGTTAAACTTTAAGAAATTACCATTTGTCAGCCAGGTGCAGTGGCTCACACCTGTAATCCCAGCACTTTGGGAGGCCAAGGCAGGAGGATCATGAGGTCAGGAGATCGAGACCATCCTGGCTAACACGGTCAAACTCCGTCTCCATTAAAAATACAAAAAATTAGCCGGACGTGGTGGCGGGCACCTGTAGTCCCAGCTACTCGGGAGACTGAGGCAAGAGAATGCCGTGAACCCAGGAGGCGGAGCTTGCAGCAAGCCGAGATCATGCGACTGTACTCCAGCCTGGGCTACAGTGCGAGACTCCATCTCAAAAAAAAAAAAAAAAAAAAAAGAAATTACCATTTGTCTAGTTTTGGTGTACTGTCAATGAAGAATATGTATAATAATCTGGAAAACTATTAATGCAATCCTTTATTTTCCAAACACATTGTACATCTCTGTGAGGCTGGATATTCTTCATCTACTTCATCTTAAACAACATATTGCAACCTATTGCATGTGGAAGCAGATGTTAGAACCCAGCTGCTGTTTATTAAGCTATGTGGCTACACAGGGAGGGGGAATCCAGAGAGAGCCTGGTGGTCTCCCTGAATGAAGGGGCAAAACTAAGAGCTTGGGGAGGGCAATGCAGCTGGATTTCACAGAGAAGGAAGACCTAGAGAAAAGTTTCACACAAATAGTGAGCTCTGGACATCTTTGCTCTTGAGTCTTCAGCTAAGTACTGATCACTGCACACATGTGAAAAAATTACCCAATGCTAGGAAAAGAACCACCCAAAAGGAAATGAGGAAATGAAGCAGGAGCTCACAGCAGGTGGGAAAATTTCCTGTTCCCAGTAGCCAGGGTGAAACACCTCATAATTCATGGGGCATCGGGTGGAGTACTCAGATGTCCACATGGAACACTTACCAAGATTGACCATGTTCTGAGCCATGAAACAAATCCCCCAGATTTAAAGGAATCCAAGTCATACAAAGTATGCTCTTTGCCCTCAAAGAAAATAATTTAAAGGTCAATAACAGAAAAATATCTGGAAAATCCCTAAATATTTGGAAACTAAGGAGCATACTAAATAGCCCATGGAAAGAAAGGAAAAAGGGAAAATAGAAAGTATTTTGAATTGAATGACAATAAAATTAACAATCACCTATTCAGACTGATAAGGAAAAAAGAAAGCATACAAAATTTACTAATATCAGAAGTGAGAGAGGTGACACAATAGACTACAGATACTGAGAATAATGAGGGAAACATGGATAACTTAGGATTAAACAAAATCAATAAGGAAGATAAAATGGGAAAGTCCTTGAAAGAGACACCCTAACAACACTTACTCAAGAAGAAATTGAGACATTGAATACCACTATATTCATTAATGTAGTTGAAAAGAAAGCTCCAGGCTCAGATGTCTTCCTTGGCTAATTCTACCAAGCATTAAAAACAAAATAGCAATTATATACAAATTCTTCCAGAACTTAGAACATGAGAGGATATTTTCCAACTCATTCCATGAGGTCAACATTACTCTGATACCAAAATCCGATAAAGATACTGAAACAAATGAAAGCTACAGATAAATATCCCTCACAACCATAAATGCAAAAAACTAACAAAATCTTATTTTTTTTTGAAAAGAAGTCTCGCTCTGTCGTCCAGGCTGGAGTGCAGTGGCATGATCTCGGCTCACTGCAAGCTCTGCCTCCCGGGTTCATGCCATTCTCCTGCCTCAGCCTCCCGAGTAGCTGGGACAACAGGCACCCGCCACCACGCCCGGCTAATTTTTTGTATTTTTTTAGTAGAGATGGGGTTTCACCCTGTTAGCCAGGATGGTCTTGATCTCCTGACCTCGTGATCCACCCACCTTGGCCTCCCAAAGTGCTGGGATTACAGGTGTGAGCCACCGCACCCTGCCTAACAAAATCTTAATAAATGGAATTCAATCATATATAAAATGATAGCTCATAGCATAAAAATAATATACACAGGGATTAACCTGGAAAATACTTGCAAGACTGACGCATAAAAAAGTACAAAACATTGCTGAGAAAAAGTAAAGACAAAAATAAATGAAGAGATCTATGAGTTTGCAGATCAAGACACAATACAGTTAAGATCTAAATTCTCACACTGATCTATAAATTCAATGCAATCTGTTTATAATCCCAGAATACCTTTTTGAAGAAATAAAAAAGCTGATTCTATAATTCAGATGGAAAGGCAAAACATGGGGCAGCCAAGCAACTTTGCAAAAAACGTACTGTATTCAGGTCTTACATTACCTGACTGAAAATCTCAGTATAAAGCTACAGTAATCAGTTGAGTATGCTGTTGGCATAAAGATAGACAAATAGATTAGTGAAGCAGAATAGAGAGTCTTGAAATTGACCCACACAGAGTCAACTCACTTTAATGAAAGATACAAAGGCAATTTGGTGGAGAAAGAATAACTTATTCAATAAATAGTACTGAGATAACTGGATATCTACATGCAAAAAAAACAGTGTAATCCAAACCTCACACTTTATCCAAATATTAACTCAGGAGGAATAATAGACCTAAATATAAAACTAAAGCTATGAAACTAAAACTCTACAAGGAAACAAAGGACAAACTCTTTGTGACACTAGGTTAGGCAGAGATTTGTGTGGACATATGCCGTTATTTCTCTTGGTCAAATACCTAGGAGCATAACTTCTGAGCTATATGATATGTGCATAGTTCATTTTTCATCACTGACTGGACTATAGTATAAATAAAGAAATTATAGAAATTATAAATTGTTATAATTGGTTTATATTGTTCTATTGATGAATTCACTGATAATTTTGAGTGTCCTTTAAAAGGTGACATGCCACAGCACTCTGCTCTGGAGGGCCACAGAGGGCCCTCTAACGTCTTTGGCTGAGCACAGTTAATGCATGCATGAGAGGAAGCTTCTCTTGACTGAACTAGGACGATCCAAATGAATTATCCAGATGAACAATTCAAGTAATTGGAACAATCCAAACCAATGGAACAACCCAAACAGTTCCCTGAGAGTCAGGAACAGGTCCTGTTGTCACCAGCCAGAGTGGAAAACTTGAGGAAGAGTATGGCAACGGAGTCCCTGGGTTTTCTTTTCATCTCCCAAATATCCCAGACTAGGTGCTAGAGAGACCTCCAACCTGGAATTACAAACAGGCATAGACAACAACAAAAAAAGCCCAAGTAAAGTCTAGGCCAAAGGGCCGAGAAAGAATGGCCCAGCCAAGATGGCCTCTCCTGGCCCTTATGGAGCAGAAGAGCACTCAGGCCCATACCTTCTACAATTCCAGTGGCATAGAGAGACCACATTCTGGTCTTTCCCAACATACCCTATCTGCCTCCTATAGCAGAAAGTGGCCCAGATAGGTGTTCTTCTCTCCAACAGCACTGCCAGAGATTAAGCTGGCAGCCCCCTGGAACCAAGTCACCTGGAAAGCAGGCCTAGTGACCGTCATCCCTACCTAGAGGCATTGGGCAGAGCAGGAAGCTTCTTTTGTCCCTGGGGATGGCACCATCAAGGATTGAGTAGGAGCCCTGTCAGCTCCTAGCACCCTGGAGGGCACAGTTCTCTCTACCTGCATCTTACATGTCCTACTCAACAGCAACAGGCCAGGGGAAATGCATTCTGCATTAGAATTATTCTGCAGATAGAACCAGCAGGGATTAAATGGGAGCCCCAGTGGGGCCAGGTGAATGAAGCAGACCAGAATAGAAGCTCCATAAGCTAAATTATCATTGGACCCATAGCCCCAAAAGTAAGCCCAAACCTGTATGCTAAGCCTAAACAGAGAGAATGCATGCTAAAATAGGCAAATTAAATAGGATCTAGATTATCCTAAAATAATATCCAAAAATGTCCAGGAGATAATTAAAAAATTATTTGTCTTGGCCAGGCACGGTGGCTCACGCCTGTAATCCCAGCACTTTGGGAGGCCGAGACGGGCGGATCACCTGAGGTCAGGAGATCACAACCAGCCTGGCCAACATGGTGAAACCCCATCTCTACTAAAAATACAAAAATTAGCTGGGCGTGGTGGCGGGTGCCTGTAATCCCAGATACTGGGGAGGCTGAGGCAGGAGAATATCTTGAACCAGGGAGGCGGAGGTTGCAGTGAGCTGAGATCGCGCCACTGCACTCCAGCCTGGGTGATAGAGCGAGACTCCATCTCAAAAAAAAAAAAAAATTATTTGTCTTAACAAAAATGAAAAAAAAACTTACCGTTCTAAAAAAGAAAATAAAATAATTTTACAAATAATTTTTTTTAAAAAATCACAATCCTATAATCAATCAGGTGTTGGGGGTATCTGACAAGTACTTTAAAGCAAGTGTTATAAAAATGTTTCCACAAGCAATTGCAAAATACAAAATATCAGCAAAGAAAAAGAAGTTATAAAAAAGAATCAAATGAAAATTATGTGAAAAATACAAAATAACAACAACCAAATTAAAAAAAAAAACAAAGTCCTCACTGGATGAGCTCAAAAGAAGATGAGAGATGACAGAGGATGGAGTTAGTAAATTTGAGGACAGATCAACAAATAATTTATTCAGTCAAACAACAGAAAAAGAATGGATAAAAAATTAAAGATTTTCAGATAGCTGCAGACAATAATAAAATATCTAACACAGATCATTTGGTCATCATATGGTCTGAGTCCCAGAAAGAGAAGAGAAAGAGTCTGAGACCGAAAAATTATTCAAATAAATAATGGCTGGAAACTTCCAAAATTAGGCAAACTATCTAAACTATATATAACCTACAGATTCAAATAGGGAAATGAAGCCAAAATAATAAAACCAAAGAAATTCATGACAAAACGTATCATAATTAAACTTCTGAAAACATCTTAAAAGAAGCCAGAGAAAAATGAAGCATTGCCTATAGGGACCACCGATTTGAATGAGATTTGATAATTCCTCTGAAACCAAAGAACCCAGAACGAAGTGACAAACATTTCTCAAGTGCTGAAAGTACTGTTAATTGCAATTTCTAATTCCAGCAATACTATCCTTCATGAATGAAGGGAAACAAAGTCATCCACAGGCAAAGGAAAACTAAGAGAACATTTCTCTTAATTTTAGTTCTCTTAATTTTTAAAATTAAAAGAACTACCAGCAGACCTACCCTTAAATAATGGCCAGAAGAAGTTCTTTGAACAGAAAGTATATGATAACATAAGAAGTACTGGAACCTCAGAAGGAAAAGAACAACAGACGGGTAAAAGTAGGAATTGAGTATAATAGAATATTATTATCCTAATTAATTTATGAAGTCATTTGATTACTAAAGCAGAAATCATAATACCATCTGATGTTGGGATCTGTGTGTGTGTGTATATATATATATATATATATATATATATACACACACACACACACATAAATACACATATACATATATATGCATATATATGTATGAAGTCCTGAGACATATTTTAAAAGTGGGGAAAGCAAAGGCAACAAATGGAAGTAAAGGTTCAACACTTTATTCAAAGTGGTAAAACATTAATACCTATAGGCTATGATAAGTTCTATGTGTATATTGTGATACCTAGAGAAACTGCTAAGAAAATTATACAAAGCGATATGCTCAAAATCGGCATAAAGAAAACACAATAGAATCCTTCAAAATGTTCAAGTAGCACACAGGAAGACAGGAAAAGAGAAACACAGGAACCGAAAACAGAGAAACAAACAGAAAACATAAATAGCAGCCATAAGCCTTAACATATCCATAATTAGTTTAAGAATAAATTGGCTAAACACACCAATTTAATACAGAGATTGGCAGAGTACATTAAAACATCCCATGACCAAGTAATATGCTGTGTGCACTGAAGTCACTTCAAATACAACAACATAGGTAGGTACAAAGTAAAGGGAAGGGGCCAGGCGCGGTGGTTCACGCCTGTAATCCCAGCACTTCGGGAGACCGAGACGGGCGGATCACGAGGTCAGGAAATCGAGACCATCCTGGCTAACACGGTGAAACCCCGTCTCTACTAAAAATACAATAAAAAAAAAATTAGCCGGGCGTGGTGGCGGGCGCCTGTAGTCCCAGCTACTCGGGAGGCTGAGGCAGGAGGATGGCGTGAACCCGGGAGGCAGAGCTTGCAGTGAGCCGAGATCCTGCCACTGCACTCCAGCCTGGGTGACAGAGCGAGACTCCATCTCAAAAAAAAAAAAAAAAAAAAAAGGAAGGAAAAAGATACAGCATGCTACCTGTAATAAGCAAATACAATCAACCAACTGGATCTAAATAACATGTATAGAGAAACATGCCACTGCAAAACAACAGAATGTACATTTTTAAAGCATCCATGACACATTCATCAGGATAGCCTATATCCTGGGACATAAAACAAAATTCATTAACTCAAATGAGTGTTAATGACTACCTGGAAGTGAAAGAGTACTAGCCTAGATATAGCAGTATGGAGGCAGGAAAACATTCTGCACCCACTGTACTGTGGTTCAAGTGGATAAGGCAAGTGAATGGGAAGGGATTTCCTGAAAACCATAACGTGGTTGGGGAGTTGGCTTACATCGACAGCTCCAGAATGAAACTGGAAAGATGTGAGAGGAATGGGAGTTCGAACATGTAAACCCAGGACAGTGCAGTAGGTGGGGGATGAGGGTCTGGAAAGGATGGGGGTGAGTGGGTGGGTGAGAAGCCCAAGAAGTGGCTGACTTTAGATACCTTAACTGTAAGCCCAGGATTCTTTGGGGACAGGAATGACTCAAGGTCTCAGGCTGTTTCTGGCCTGATACTAAAAGAAGGGTGAGATGGTATGAAATTTACGGAGGGTTTCTGTGGTCAGTTATGGGATGACTGTTTCAGGGAGCTTGGGCCACCCAAAGAGCAAAGCTTCTGGGGAATAAGAGTCTGAGGTGTGTCCATGTAGCTGCTTCTTAAACATCCCTCCACACATAGGAAGTTCCCACAAAAGACACTTGCCGTGATTGTCCATTACATACCAAGGTGGAATCTTCCCAAAACAAAGACACTTATTTTTAATACAATCCCCATTAGAATTGTTCATGCTCAGGGAACAGTTATGAAACAAAATTGAGATATAGCATAAATTTTGGCAAAATAATGTTTTAAAAATTATTTTACCCATCAAAATTATTATATATATATAGTAATTATAGAAATGTATTTAAAAATGATCTCTATTTAGAGATGTTTACCATGTATATATTCAATTTGGAGGTTTCAGATCAATCATATGCTCTTTAAAATTAAGTGACCATAAAACTAACTTTATGGCACCCTGGGCATAATGGGTACAGAACTTCCGATAACACTGATTAACAGTCTACAGAAATTTATAGACAAACTTTTCGGACAAGCCAGTACTGCCGAGGCTTGAGAGTTCTAAAGTTGCTATGAAATCTTCCTTAAACAATTGACAGCAGCTGCAAAGCATTTTCTTTAGCTTTATGCAGAGTATTCACGATTGCTGACAAGGCTCCTATTTGGCTTTTTTATCCCTTTAACCGCCTAGAATTACTGAAACTGAACTTGTGAGTTCTAACACTAAAAGCCTCTTTATTTTCTTGATCTTATAATGTAATATTCTTTCCTCCCAAGAAAGATGAGCTAAGCAGTGGCTTTCTTTTATAATTACGTTTTCAAAGCAAACATTTTAAAAGTAGATGTTGCATGGGAAACAAGCCTCCTGACTATTTTCCTAAATAGCTTAGGACTTCCTACAGAGCCTGCATTTTCAGTCTCAAGGATGATGGCCCTCCCAATGATTCTCTCTTCCCTTTAAACACACAGTCCTCCTGAGCTGAGGTGCCTGGGCAGCAAGAACTCGGGGATCCCTCAGACCTCAGTTCAGTTCCTGCCCCATCTCCCAAACTGCCAAGAGGATTTGCACATGGACAGGCAAAAAAGTCAACTCTCTTTCCCTCCTTAAATCTGCCAGCAGTTTGGACCTTTTTTATAAACATATGGTATGTTTTTCCCAAAGGCAAATCTAAAGTCATCACTATTTTTCTTACTTTCTTGCTTGAATTCGGGTATCTAGAGCAATTATGAAGTTGTGTGTGTGTGTGTGTGTGTGTGTGTGGTGTGTGTGTGTGTCTGTGTCTGTGTGCATGTATAGCATAACACACTTTATAGGTTAACTTCCAAGAGAGAAAAGTAACCATCAAATTATCAAATATATACACACATGTGTATATGTATACATACATAATCATATTATATATATACATATAGTAAACATTTTCTTTTCATCAGTGGAATAATCCTTTGAAAGACGACACTTTGCTGCCCCAGCAGAAGGAATGCATAGTGCTGGAAACATGGTATAACCTCAACGAATAATCTCTAATATTTATTTTTTGTGGAAGCTATAAATCTGTTGGTAGAAACTGCCCCTGTATGGCCAAGGAGTTTTTTCTTATTTAAAATGCTTAAACTTGTGTTCTCTACTGGTTTGATTATAGAAGATCACCATTTAGGATAAAAAGAGTCGCACCCATGGTATTCTTCCATTCCTACCCTCTGATATAGACACCCATTTTGTTTCAGTAATGTATTAATTACAAATGTAGTCTTCCTCTGGCCATAGTCAAATCTCACTAATCTAATCTTAATTTATCAAAATATGAGTTTTTTTAAAAAAAGAAAAAGTTTAGAGAACACGAAGTTCCACTGTGATATTCCGATGTGATTCATGGGTGTGTAGAATGAGAAAGAATTCTAAATGCATTCTTAAAAGATAAGCCCTTGTGAAGATTTGTGGGCCTTGAGGAAAAAAGATGAAGCCCTTTCAGAGAGTCTTCTAAAATTATGCTTAGTGGATTTACTAAATCCTTAAAATTATGACATTGAGTTACCACAAATTATTTTGGAATAAAAATTGATATAAATAAATATTACTATACTGTGACATTTTAAGCTTAAAACCTTTTTCTCACATGAACATGACGAAAAGCAGAAACTTGACAAGCCAAAATTATCTGCCATCATTGCTAATGCTGTATAAGAGCAAAGCTAGTGATTTTGCCAATTTATCATTCGCTATGAAATAGCTGGATTTTCTTCCACTAAATGATGTCCTTTCTGGTTAGAAACTGAAAAGTATTCTATCATGTCCCTGCTATATTTTGAACTTTGCCATACTAAGTAAACTTGAGCTCCCTAATACCTGTAAAATCCCTTTTTTTCTGACCCAATTTTCCTCCTCATTTCCAAGTAGGAATAAAGTCAAATCTTACAGGCTTAGATGAAGTTCGATAATTGCCAAATTCTCTGTGTGTTGTTTTGTAGAAAAAGAGCCACTCCCTATGGCAAACAGTGAGCAACTCAATCTACCTGTAAACAACTTCACGCATCATGCAGAAGACAGGGATTTTAGATGAAATGACCATCCAGGCCTATGTGTGGGACGCATATACTGGATTTAATAGGCTCCAGTATTCAGTCAGCTCCCTAGCACAATAAGCACTTGATAAATATTTCTTGATTATATCAGCTGCTACTAATTACAGGCTGTTTGAGAGCTTGGGCATTATCTTTTTTTGATTATTGCTATATCCTTGTTACCTGAAATAGTGCCTGGCACATAGCAGGTGATCAGTAAAGATTTATTGGTTGATGAACTATTTGGCGAATGTATAAACTGCTGGCCATGCAGAATCATGGAGTGATTGATTTGAGAATGTCAGCTCACTGTGCAGGTGTCAGGGTGCAAGTTGCAGCCCAGCCACATAACAGGTATGTGACCTGGGACCAAAGGCTACCGATGAACCCAAGTTTTCATACAGATAAAATGGGAATAATGTTTCTACCTATCTCCTAAAGTTACGGCGAGAATTAATGAAATAGATGGGAAGGAGAGGATGGCTCCCTGAGGCTTGGTGAAGCAGGAGCCCTCCGTGGCAGTGCGTCGGTGTCGAGGCTCCGGCCTGACCTCTCCAGGGGGTCGACAGGATGGTCTCCAGATGCCAGGAGTCCTGAAGGGCCGACCCTGATGAAGAAACCTCAGGTGGAGTCCTGGGGAAGCAGCCTGGGATCCCAGCCTCAGGCCTGCCCTGATGGTGTTCAGGATCAGGGTGACCACACCACACCCAAGGACAAAAGCCTCACAGGAGCTCATTGTCCTCCTGCAGGAGGGGTGCAGACTGACGTCAAAGAAGATGGTTCTAACTCCTCCCACCTTCTGCTCTCATCGAGACATGTAGCCACACCATGACACAGGCTTGGAGAAGAAGCCAGGAACAGGACTTGGCAAGGATCTCTGTCACTCCAATGCTGGCCTTGCTGGTCAAGTCACCCGCTGGGCCCTCCTACCCAGACGCCTGTGGCGGTGGCATTGTGCTGTATCCTCCCTGGGCTCTGGCCTCTGCTGTGTCCTCTATCTTTCTCTGTCTGCCATGTTTCTGAGGGCCCTAGAGCCTTCTTGGTCTGGCGCAATGTCTTCGACAAAGAACACTTTTGAATCCATCAGGGAGAAACTTTGTGGGGAAAAAAAATCCCATATCCATGGAAGGATACTGCAGTGTCCAGTGCATAGCAAGTACTCAGTAAAGATTGCTATTATATGAGTCTGCTCCAGCTGCTACAACAAAATGCCATGGACTGGGTGGTTTATAAACAACAAAAATTATTGCTCACTGTTTTGGAGGATGGAAAGAACAAGATCAAGGTGCCAGCGTTTGGTGTTTGGTGAGGCTCACTTCCTGGCCCATAGGTGCTCCCTTCTCACTGTGCCTTCATGGTGGAAAGGACTAACTAGCCCTCTGGGGTCTCTTTGAAAAGGGTACTAATCCCATTCATGAGAGTTTTGTGTCCATGACCTAATCACCTTCCAAAGGTCCCACCTCTTACTGCCATCATCTGTCTCCATCATGGTGTCTGCCCCCTCCATTCTCTCTGGGCTTGCTGGGAACAGCAGCAGTGGCTCTTCAATTACATATTTGCTCCTACCAAAAGGGCTTCATACTTCATGACATTTGCTGTTTGCAAAGCTTGAAGGACCCTGATGTAACCTATTTATTTGACAGATAATAGAATTGGATCACAAAGAGATTTTGTGACTTTTGCCTCTAGAAAGCAGACCTACTGCCCGTATTACATTTTTAACTGCTGCTGTAGCACATTGCCATAAAGTAGAGGTTTAAGACAAGAAAAGCATATAGCTCAGAGTTGTGTAGTCCAGAAGTCTAATAAGGGACTCCCTGAGCTAAAATCAAGGCATCAGCAGGGCTGTGTTTCTTTCTGAGGACTCTAGAAGAGAATCCATCTTCTTGCCTGTTCCAGCTTCCAGAGGCCCCTCCTCCATCTGCCGAGCTGGTGACACCACATCTCTTCCTTCCCTTCGCTGTCGTGACTGCTCGTGCTGACTCTCTTCTTTGGCCTCCCTGTTTCACTTTTAAGGACCTTCTGATTACACTGGACCCACAAGGATAATCCAGGATGATCCCCTTATTTTAAGGTCAGCTGATTAGCAACCATGCTTTCCTCTTTCCCGTTTAACCCAACATATTCACAGGTTCTGGGAATTGAGACATGAGCATCTTCAGGGGCCGTGATTTAGCCTGCCTGCCAATTAGGTTTTAAGGGCCAAGTGTTCCGACTGTAAGTTGAATGATTTTTCAACAGCAGTAGTATTTTCAAATTAAAAAACAGCCATCATGCTAAAACACTTCTGTACAATTGTAACCTACAGGTAAATATAGCACATCCGTGTGGACTAGAAATGGAACAAAAGTTCCAAATTGAATCAGTGCCGGAAAGAATAAAGGAAGTTGTCTCTCGCCAGTTGTAGCTTTTTACAAAACAATTCTGGAGAAATTTGAAAGATTACACTAGGCTCAGCACTGGCCTTCTTGTTAATCTGTTCCTGCAACATGGCTATGTCCTCATAAGTTATTTGGGGAAGAAAACCATCTCAGAAGATGCTGCTGTGTGCTTCAAGAGTGTGCTGTGTACACACTCTTGAAGGCCGAGGCCATGCCATGTGTTCGTGGTTTTACAGCTGTAAAGGGCAGCAATCCACAAAGTGCTGCTCAGAGCCAGCGCATTTGGTCTGAGGGCGAATGGTCAAGATTTTCACAGCTTAGTGAAGAGCTTCATGAAATAAGTGAGCCCAAAGAGGATGAGAGGAGGAAGAAAGACATCACGTCTTTGAAGGTGCTCATTTTTACCTTTATCACTGTAAATTTTTCTCCCTTGGTAAATCACAAAATTCTTGTACCATTTAACTCAAGATTTCTTATAAATATCTTGGTATAAACTAATTATGGGATGATATTAATATTGTATATCAGCACATTTTTCTGGTACAAAGAATAACTAGAACACAGTTTTCCTCAATTTGGCATAGATAAGATTGTTTTCATTAGAAAAGAACACAAGCAAACAAACAAAAACCAGCTACCTAAAGTGTTTCTTATAATGCTCCCCTCTCTATGCTTTCTGCTAAATAAATAAAAAATCTCTTAGATTATTCAACACTTAGGCTGCCGCAGTATTATTATAATTCTCTTCGCCCGTATCCCCCAAAGTGAATCAAAGGCTCCATAGATCTGAATTCCATGTTGATTTGCTGACTTTGCAGAGATCTGTGTAAAAAGTTGGCATAGGCTGAGAAAACATCCTGATCGAACAAAGACAATATATTTTTATGTATTGACTTTTGTGTGATTCAATTTGCAGTAAGTATGAGAGTAACCTTTATAAACTGTCCTACGAACTTAAAAGCAAGTTTGCATTTTGTGGTTAACTTTTCTTTTACTGTATGACTTCCAAGCTGATGACCTAGCTTATGGGAGCTCTTGAAACCTTTTAGACAAGTAATGAAAATGAATGGTTTTCCCAACACTTAGAATCATGATCTAAAAGTTGGATAGACTTTTGGGAAGGCAGACCCTATTAAGTTACAATTGTAATAATTAAGATAAAAGATAAATTGTACTTTAATTGTTTGCATAGTAAGGCAATGAATGTTTAACTTTAAATCTGCAATCCTATTTACATTTAAAATTTATTTTTAGTTGGCAAACAATAATTGTACATTTAGGGTACAATCAAAACAATGGGATGCTTTGACATAAGTATGTGAGGGAACTGACTTGGTAATTAGCGTGATTAAATCTGTTATTCTAAATAAAGTCATGGAGTTCTCATTTCCATAATAAGTAGGTATTTTTCATTTAAAAAGCCTATACTCATCATTCAAAGCATATTGGTATATTGGTAATTTTTTTCCTTTTTCCACTTTAGCAGTATGTAAAATTTTATACACTCTTTCATCAGATTATTAAGCATCATTCAAATTGTGTTCCGAGTCAATGTTTCCTCTTTACTAAATCATGAATTATGCTGGGAATAAGTACCGATTTTATGCTTTTAGTTCTATTATTTTCTTTCTATTTCATGAGTTCCCTCGGGCCTATTACAGAGTTCTGTGGAAACTGTGGGACTTTTCCTACTGAAATTTATTATTTTTATAGCTGATGAAACTAGTCTTTTTTAAACTATAGCTATTTTCACCAAAATTAATCAAAACATTATAGTTTATTATTGATTGATTAACTTCCTGATAATATGGCACTTTTAGAAGTATTTCCTTATGAAAACAATGAAAACTTTTTGCCTATATACTGTCAAAGGAATTTCTAGTTTGGTAACTTTGATATACAAACATGTTCTTACTACTTACCGTTCAGAATATTTCTGGGGCCAGGCATGGTGGCTCATACCTGCAATCCCAGCACTTCGGGAGGCTGAGGCAGTAGGATTGCTTGAGCCTAGGAGTTCAAGACCCGCCTGGGAGACAGAGTGAGACCCTATCTCAAAAAACAAAAAGAAAAGAAAAAATTAAAAAAAGGAAAAGAATATTTCTGGAAAGTTACAGTCTGGTGATTGAATAACATGTACAGATAAAATGTTTTATTTAGCTTTGGGTTGTTTTTCATGAAAACCAAATTAACAATAGCCTCTCTTCTTCTTGTCCATATTTCTTTTCTAGTCATTTTAAAAAACAAAATCTCTACAATGAAATCTTCAGGAGTTATCAATTAATTATTAGCTTTTAAACACCTGCTCTGTTCTTAGTTTTATGGTTGGTGTTAAGGATTATGTATAGGACCTGGAATCCATTTAGAATCAAGAGCTGTTTTTAGCTGGTTATGTGGTTGCCTAATTCTAAAACATGGAAAGTATCATGAATGTTATTACTCTTACTATCACTCTTAATTTAAAAAGTTACAGTGAATCCGGGCACAGTGGTTCCCGCCTGTAATCCCAGCAGTTTGGGAGGCCAAGGCGGGTGGATCACCTGAGGTCAGGAGTTTGAGACCAACTTGACCAACATGGTGAAACCCTGTCTCTACCAAAAATACAAAATTTAACTGGGCGTGGTGCCGGGCGCCTGTAATCCCAACTACTCGGGAGGCTGAGGCAGGAGAATCGCTTGAAACCAGAAGACGGAGGTTGCAGTGAGCCAAGATTACGCCATTGCACTCCAGCCTGGGCAACAAGAGTGAAACTTCGTCTCGAGAAAAAGTTAAAGTGAATTGAATCAGTTGATTAGTCCACAATTGCATATCTGTTTCTGAACATTTGGTACATCAAGATTATTTGGCAGAAACTAATATATGGCAAGAAGCTAAATTAGGCATTTAAATAGAAGGTTAGCTTTAGAGACCAGTCCAAAGTGGTTTTGTAAGTGTAGTTTATTTCTCATTTTACATTATCTGAGCCTGAATAGGTCTACCATGCATTGCATAACAAATTTTTAAGCATATTTACTCTTGCAAAAATGTCAGTGCCATTCCTTAGGAGTTTGAAATATAGAATTTTACAAAGGATAATCAAAGAAGTGGAACATGAGTGTGCTGTTCTATTTTACTGTACCAATCTAAAGGAAAATGAGCATGATTACCTTGGAATATATCATTTCTAGGATTTCTTCTAAGCTTTACTTAACATTTAATAATTTCTATGGTATACCTGAGGAATCATTTCATTGTTTTAAAATATTTTTATATCAGCCTTACACTGTTCCTTTTTTTGTCCTTTTAAATATTCCAGGACTCAGAGATCTTAGAAATATAAGTACCTAAAGTACTTGTCATATCTAATATTCTTCCAGATAGCCTCCCTCAATTCTCTTCTATTTTATACATTTGATCCACAGCATGACATGTGCTACAAACTGAAACTTGTAAATCATTCCCACTTCTGTAAGACTCTATTGAAAATAATGAAAAGCTAAACTCTTGCCTATGCGCACTGAGTCACATACCACATTCTTGGCTTGAATGGTAGTTAAGCAGAAAAATTGACTGAACAATTTCCAGTAATTCTCAGTGGGGTTAAATGACACAGGGAAAAAAGTAATAGTGATGGTTACAATGTGTAATGATAGAATCGAAATGGAAGAAGTTTGCTCATTACAATAACCTCTCTTGAAGGTGACATTAGAAACATATTATCTATTGAGTTGGAGGTTTCAACCCATTAATGGGTCACAACCAGAAAAAATTTTTTAACAAAATAGAAAAAATCGCAAACAGACTACATCATATATGGTAAAGATAAATATCATTCCGCACAATTTTGTTTCTGGGCCAGGTGTGGTGGCTCACTCCTGTAATCCCAGCAATTTGGGAGGCCAAGGTAGGCAGATCATAAGATCAGGAGATCGAGACCATCCTGGCTAACACGGTGAAACCCCATTTCTACTAAAAATACAAAACATTAGCCGGGCGTGGTGGGGGATGACTGGAGTCCCAGCTACTCGGGAGGCTGAGGCAGGAGAATGGCGTGCACCCGGGAGGCAGAGCTTGCAATGAGCCAAGATTGCACCACTGCACTCCAGCCTGGGTGACAGAGCGAGACTCCATCTCAAAAAAAAAATAATAATAATAATAATAATTTGTTTCTGGTTTCACACATGTGTATGCATGGTCTAGAAGTAAAATTTATTTCTTCCAGTGGGCTGTAGTTTAAAAGGCTTGAGGGTGATTACTCTAGAACAGTTTCCTAATCATTTCAAAATTGGCCTGAGCTCTTCTGTAAAATAGAAATCCTTGACCCCTGCTTAGGCTCATGGTGGTGTTATTTTTCTTCAGCAGTCTTCCCCAGATGATACTACTTCCAGAATATAAATTAAGGAGACTTTTCACTCTTGCAGAAGTGTTTAGGAACAAGCAGTAGCTGGAATGTGGGGTAAGGAAGTAGAAGTCCCAGACACCACAGGTCTCCCCCAGGCTCCTTCTCTGCAGGGCTCTGACCCTTAAAACCAATGGTTTCTCCAAGCCAGGTCAGAGAGAAAGGACTCCACCTGCCCTCCCTTGGCTGGGACCCAATTTGTCTCCAAAGAAGAGTCTACTTCTCAAGCACCTTGCTCTGAATGTATGAGTATGATTAGTGTAACAGATTGGGTAAAAGCCCAACCTTTTTTAACATGAAATTGGCTACATCAATAAAAAGTCAAGATTTGGTTACAAAGCAAACACAAGGTCCTCTATGAGGTCCTGATTGTGTCTCCTTCACAATCACTTTCAAGGAAGGTCATCTGTGAGTTGGGTGGAGAAAGGGAGTCCCTGCAAACAAGCTCAGTCTCATACAGAGTAGATATTCCTGGAATTGAAAGGTGTCTTAATATTTGGGATCTGAAGTATATTCTTTGAATGTCCAGTCCTCCAGCTGTCACACAGTGTTATGCAAAGAACTGCTTTAGAGGTCCCTGAAATTTTATATATATAATTTATATATATATATACACACACATATACACATTTTTATATAAGAAATATATACATATATAAATCTTATTTATAAAGCATTCCAACTCTTTGTTATTCTTCACATGTAATATGATAATAGGCTCTGAGGATGATTTTTCTAATGCCAGAAGAAAATCAACAAATTCCTCCTGAGCCTCCATTGTCATCAATTATACCATTGATTTATTCATGTATTTTCATACATTTTACTAATCTAAATGTATAGTATGGTCAAGGGTGTGTACTGATGGCCAAAAGAAAGTCTAACATGAGCAAGAGGCATTAGAAATATCATTTGACCCAGCAATCCCATTACTGGATATATACCCAAAGGATTATAAATCATGCTCCTATAAAGACACATGCACATGTATGTTTATTGCAGCACTATTTGCAATAGCAAAGACTTGGAACCAACCCAAATGCCCATCAATGATAGACTGGATAAAGAAAATGTGGCACATATACACCATGGAATACTATGCAGCCATAAAAAAGGATGAGTTCATGTCCTTTGCAGGGACATGGATGAAGCTGGAAACCGTCATTCTCAGCAAACTAACACAGGAAGAGAAAACCAAACACTGCATGTTCTCACTCATAAGTGGGAGGTGAACAATGAGAACAAGTGGACACAGGGAGAGGAACATCACACACCAGGGCCTGTTGGGGGTTGGGGGGCAAGGGGAAGGATAGCATTAGGAGAAATACCTAATGTAGATGATGGGTTGAAGAATGCAGCAAACCACCATCGCACATGTATACATATGTAACAAACATGCACGTTCTGCACATGTATCCTAGAACTTAAAGTATAATTAAAAAAAAAGAAAATAGAAAAAAATAGATAAACAAATACAAATAATTAATTCCTTAGTGCAGTGAGGGAAAAGCACATTCACTTCTCATCTGTGAATCAATCTTTCAGCTGAATATTTATTGGTGTCATGCCAGGAGGAGAATGAAATGGGATGGGATGGAGACAGAAATGTCTCTGCTTCTCATCATTGCCCAGCCCCTGTGGCTTCCTGTCCCGTTCCCAGCTCTAAGCCCACAACCCCATGAAGCCCCCAGATTTGCCGCTATTCTTACTGGCTGGAGGCCCCACAGGGCAAGAGAAGTCATCACCAGAAGGAGACTTTTGGAAGGTTCATCGCTTGGCACAAATTGGTCACCTAGGCTCAGTTACTATGCAATGAACAGAGGAGGTGTGTGGGTTACATTTTTCTCCCTAATATCCTAAACTGTAACCTGGTCTTTGTAATAGAAAGATTGTTCTAAATGGTGTTTGGATTCAAAAGTACTGTAATTTAGTTGTATAATAGATTAAATCATGCTGAATGAATTGGCCTAATTACTGATCTAATGGTAACCCACCTCTTTTTATTCTGGATTTAAAGCAAAAATAACAGAAATATCATTAAACTCTTGGAACACACAGCATTCTGCTAATTCGACTTCTTCTGTTAGATGCTTGAGATGGATTTTTCTCAAGAAGAATATCACTACTGACAGAATATATCTTCGTAAAATGAATGGATTTATTGCTGTGTCCCATAGGCTGACTCTTAAAAATCACTAAAGACCTTTCTCATCTTATTTGTCTTTTAAAGCAAAGCATATATTATGAATGCATATAAATTTAATAATATCCTTGTTAAGTTACTCCTATATTTTGATATGAACGATTCGGTGAAATTGACAAAGATCAAGTTCCTTGAAAATGAGTTTGTTTTTCTAAAACTGAGCAAGTCTGGACGAAATATGAACCAAATATGATCTTTAGAACATTTGATTGACTTTATTTTCTGAGTCAAATGTAAAGTAAACTCAAAGAGGAATGAGGGCTTCAGAGTTTACTGCTATTGACTCTGCCAGGCTCAACAAAGAAGGCCTGTGAGCCCATGGAGGGGCCTGAGAGCCGTCCCCACGCACCCCAGCCCAGCATTCATAATAATGACTTATGCACTCTGAGATGCTGTGCCCTAAACACACCAGAAAGCTGCTGAGTGTTTGACAGGTCCATAAATCATCATGCCCAGGCGGTTTTGCACCCTGTGGAGTCACTGGCCCTGGGGTTTAAGCCCTGGGTTTCATTGCCTGCTTTAGAGGGCGAAGCCAGAAAATCTCCTTTGGATGTAGCTGTAACTTTCTTGTTCATGAAGCCTACTGCAATCTCATGCCAACCTGGTTTTTCCTGTGGCTCTCTTGGACACTCGTTCCTTAAGCCATAGGTGTTGTGGCATGAAGATTTTATTCTATAGGTAACGCAGTCCTTCTGTCCTTGCAACTATGAGCTTTAAGGAGAGAAATGAGGTTTCCAGATGAAAAAGAATGCAGAATGACCAGTTCCTACAAAAGGGCAGTATCTTTTCCTTTTATTTATTTATTTATTTTATTTTTATTTTTATTTTTATTTTTATTTTTAGGGACAAGCTCTCTCTGTCACCCAGGCTGGAGTGCAGTGACATGATTATGGCTCACTGCAGCGTCAACCTCCTGGGCTCAGGCAATCCACCCACCTCAGCCTCCTGAGTGGCTGGGACCACAGGTACACACCACCATGCCTAGCCCATTTTTGTATTTTTTGTAGAGATAGGGTCTCCCTGTGTTGCCCAGGCTGATCTCAAACTCCTGGGCTCAAGTGAGCCTCCCACCTCAGCTTCCCAAAGAATAAGGATTACAGGCGTGAGCTACTGCACCCACCCTATTTTATTTATATTTAATTTACAAAGCTCTACATGGTACCCCTTAGGTCCTGGCATTAGTAAGGCCCCACAAAGGGTCATGTGGACCATTCCCTGGGTAGTCCCCTATAAGTCCTCACCTTCCACACTCCCACTGCAGTCATCTGTGACAGCTGCCACATGGCTTCTCCTGTCTGCACCAAGCAGAGGTGGCAATGTTGGAGAAATGCCCACCTCGACGTCAGTTGGCTCCACTGTAAAACCACGTCTCTGACTTCAGTTGGTACGTAGCTGTGGGCGTTCATGCCGTCACTAACCCCAAAGGAGAACTCTAAATGGTGACTGTAAAGCCTCCTGGGATTCCTGTGAGCTGGACGGGGTGCTTTTACATGGCCTCACTGTCCTGAGGCAGCAAGTTAGTTGTGAAAGGGCACCAGGCCCCAGAGCCACAAGAAAGGCTGCATTGAACCACGTGTGTATTTTCTTATCTCTGCCGAGCGCCAGTGTAACCAAAACTTGTCTGTTTCTCACATTACAAAATCCTAAATAAGCATTCTATCAGGCCCCTTAAATTAGAAACCTCATCAACAAGACGTTCAGCCAGCAACCTTGCCATTGCGTAACAAGGATGGCTAGCCACCCACACCCTCCCGCTCCATGGAACCTAGACTCAGCCAGCTGTGGGTTGTGCTGGGCAGAAATCGTTGTGTCGGTTACTCTTGCTGTTTGATTTATTCTCCTGGTTGATTTAAGTCAGAGAAAACTGTGACAAAGTGACAAGGAATAACACAATCAAAGGACCTGGATGCAAAAACTGCTGGACCACTTATGTCTTCAGGGATTTTCTGCAGCAGTGAATGACATGGGCTTGGCAATTCCCCTTGGGCCCTTGGGGCCACTGGCAAACTCCCTGATGAGAAGAATCACAGAATCAAAATACAATACATATGTTAATTCTTCAAAACATTATCTGATCATGTTACTTTATTTACGTATGGAGCTTTTTTTGAGTCCTCTGCAATCAACCTCTCCACTTCTTCACTGAAATGCGATCATCCTTAATTCTTCTCTGTTCCTTACCCCCACATTCATTCATCTTTCTTTCCAATTTTAACTAGGATCTTTTTCATATTCTGTCTCCAGGATCAGTACCATTCCAGACTGTTGCTAGAAAAAGTATTCTGGGGCCGGGCGCGGTGGCTCAGGCCTGTAATCCCAGCACTTTGGGAGGCCGAGGCGGGCAGATCACGAGGTCAGGAGATAGAGACCATCCTGGCTAACACGGTGAAACCCCGTCTCTACTGAAATGCAAAAAAATTAGCCGGGCGTGGTGGCGGGCCCCTGTAGTCCCAGCTACTCGGGAGGCTGAGGCAGGAGAATGGCTTGAACTCGGGAGGCGGAGCTTGCAGTGAGCCGAGATCACGCCACTGCACTCCAGCCTGGGTGACAGAGCAAGACACCAGAAAAAGAAAGAAAGAAAGAGAGAGAGAGAGAGAGAGAGAGAGAGAGAGAGAGAAAGTAATCTGAATCGCAAATCTGATGAGGTTCCGCCTCTCTGCGACCCCCTTTAGGGCACCTCCATCCAGCAGAGGAGCCGGACTCTCCCACTTCGGCTCCTGGACTTCTTACCCCGGCCTTCCTGAGGGCAGCCTGACCTCAGTCAGAACCACCTTGTGTCCCCATCGGAGTCTTTCCTGTCTTTGCAGATAATGAAGGTCAGCCAGATTCTCCCACTCTCCTTGTCTCTCACAACTCAGATTAAACCTTCTCATCCCTCTCTCCCTCCTCATAACTATTAGCACTGATCTCCACCACAGCCAGGCAGAAATCAGGGCGAAACGTGTCATAGCTCTTGGCCATTTGGTCACCTGTGCCTTCTCTCTGCTAATCCAGCCCCTTGAGGACAGGATGGGCCAGGTCTATGGCACCCGAGAGACGGGGTTCTGCTGTTCTCTGGGCTTGATCGTGGTCATCTGTCTGACCTCTTCCTCTTTGAATAACCTCCTCTGTCAGCCAGAGATGAAGTCACCTGTCTTGCAGAGTTACTGTTAGGATTAAATGAAACAGTGTAAACATGTTTCTAACATAGTGCCTGCAAAGCAGGAAGTGCTCACAATGATTTCTGTGTTAATGTCCTTATTCCAACAGACTACCTGACAAGTCCTCCATTTAACATTTATTCAGTCAGCAGCTATATATTGAGTGCCTGCTATGTGCCAAACACCCTACTATGTTCTGGGTACACAGAGTTGAAAAAGACACAGCCCTGGGAGGCCAAGGCGGGCAGATCATGAGGTCAGGAGATCGGGACCATCCTGGCTAACACGGTGAAACCCCGTCTCTACTATACAAAAACTTAGCCGGGCATGGTGGCGGGTGCCCGTGGTCCCAGCTACTCAGGAGGCTGAGGCAGGAGAATGGCATGAACCCAGGAGGCGGAGCTTGCAGTGAGCTGAGATCGCGCCACTGCACTCCAGCCTGGGAGACAGAGCAAGACTCCGTCTCAAAAAAAAAAAAAGAAAAAGAAAAAAGAAAAAGACACAGCCCTTTTCCATCAAGGAGTGCAGAATTTCCTTGTGGTGACAGTGAGGAAAGAGGCACTCAGCATTGGGAGTGATAAGTTCCATGATAAAGATCATAATGCAATGTTTTCTGAACACTGTGCATATGACTGATGTTTTAATCAAAAGAGCAGGAGAGGAGGAAGGAGGCAGGTTGCTTGTGGCTTTGTGGCGTTGCTAACTTGGTATCTTTTCAGTTTCTTCTTGGGGGCAGTCCAGTGTTTCTGTTTTCCAGGGTATAATGCCTATTTGATGCTTCCAAGGGGAATTGCCTGACCCGGACACTCGAGGTTATTTCAGGACTGATGTTCCAAGGAAAATGCATTATCACCTGATGGTTCTCTTGAGCTTTATTCAACTTTGCACTGCCTGCTGATGTTTTTTGCAGGAGATGTGGGGGCCAGGGATGGTCTGAGTCATATGGAATCACTTCAGATGGCAATCCTGAGAGCCTTACAGAGGGAGGGCGTGGACAGACTTTGCCAAATCATCATGGAATTTACCAAGTGGCATACCCTGAGAAATGCAAACATTCCAAGAGACACTTAATATTACTATCCTAAATGAGGAGGCACTTGCCAAGCTATGTCTGGGGTCCAGGTTGTAAATCTTAAGTTGCTATTACAGGTGTAAGATATTATGAAAAGAGAGTCTGTACTCTGACGGTGACTGAGAGATTCACGAAGCTCTTCATGGTCGGAACATAGTTATTGTTTTCGAGCTCTATGTCTCTCCTTTGTTGCTAACATGTCTATAGCACAATTTTTGCTTTGCATTTGATATACATGTGATTATGTGGTTTCCTTTACTTTTCAAATAACTTTAATCCTGTTTATACATAGAACACAGGACTACAGGGAATTTTTCAACACATTTTAATTTCAGAGATTTCTTCATGACTGCCTTCCTTAGGCTGGTCACCCACTCTAACCTCTGTGTCTTTCGAGGGCCTTAAGTAATGAAAGGAGACACGGGCCTGGGGTTCCAGGGTCCAGGATGTACTATCTGGGCTCAATGATACTGTATATTGAAGTGAAAGTGACAATGGGGCAGCAAAGGAGGCAAAGAAAAGGAGAGGGAAGCAGAGGTAGGAATACAGATGGAACAAAGACCTGCTCTTTCACTGGGATGGTGAAGGGGGCCCCCGTGGCTGGGCATAAATTGGCAGAGAAACTTGTGCTGACCGAAATCTGTGTGCTGAGGCCTGTTTGTCTTTGATCTCCCAGAAATATTTTTTTCTCTCATCTTTGTCATGGGACAATCCCAGTCACTTGTATCTGTTCCATTCCATTCTGAAAATGCTCCAGAGAAACTGAATTTGAAGGAAATAGTGAAAGCTGTAACTTGGAAGGGGAAAGGAAAGAGAAAAGGGGACGAGGAAAGGAAAAAGTGTGATGGAGAGTTATGGGAACATTTTACAGCAAGTCCTTTCAAAGCCAGGAAGACCTACTTTTTATATTCATCCGAATTTGCAGATTCATATTAATTTAATACAATGCCTTCATTGCTGTTCTATTCTTTCTCTTAGGGAAAAAGGGGAATGAAAAATGGTTTGCTGCTTCTCCTCTTGGCTGCAGAATACAATTACAAAACTGTAAAACTATGATGTTAAATACCATAGCTCCGTAATTACCAAACCAAAATACTAGGTGCATACCAAGCTACACAGTCACAAAATTGCTGCATAGTTCTCATAAACTTCATAAAACCTCTTAAAATAATCTTAATCTTTTTTATTTTTTAAAGTGTTGAAAATCAGAAGCTTTACCTATGAGACATATGAACAATCTTAAACATTAAAGTCATTTAAAAATGCATAGACAAAAGTACATAAACTGTTCAAAAATTAGAAGTCTTTTTGCTTTCATGGCTTTCTAAGGTCTAAATATTTATGAGGCGTAATTTTCTCCGAAAATCTAATCCTATTAGCAGTTTTTCCCTTGGAGATAACTAAATTAAAAGGATTATCTTAATGTCAACAGAGTTTTATTGAGCATTTTCTACATATTTGATGAAAAAGCATTGGAATTTTCCATTGTTTTGAAATTATTTAATACTTAAATTTTTCATAAACTTTTTGAAAATTTTTATTTGTATAGAAAAAGTTGAAAGGATAATACAATAAATACTTGTATGTCCTCCATGCAGATCCAGAAACTTTTAACATTTATTATATATGTACATTTGTTTCCTCTTCCTCTGTTTCTGTCTCTGTCTCTGTGTGTGTGTACACATGTAATCATATATATTATGTATAATATATTTGATATGTGTATATATACGATTTTTATTGTCTTAAGCATTTGAAAATAAATTACAGACATCATGAAATTTCACTCCAAAGAGTTCAGCAGGTATGTCCTAAAAATAAGGCCCTTCTGCAACAATACCATTATTACATCTAATTAAAAAACAATAATTTAAAAATATAATTTAACATTCAATCCATATTCAAATTTTCCCCAAAGCCCCAAGAATGTCTTTTTTTTTTCTTTTTCTTTTTTTCTTGCTCTGTCCCCCAGGCTGGAGTGCAGTGACACGATCTTGGCTCACTTGGCAACCTCTGCCTCCTGGTTTCAAGCAATTCTCCTGCCTCAGCCTCCTGAGTCGCTGGGATTGCAGGCGTGTACCACCACACCCGGCTAATTGTATACTTAGTAGAGACGGGGTTTCACCACATTGGCCAGGCTGGTCTCAAACTCCTGACCTCAAATGATCCACCCACCTCGACCTCCCAAAGTGCTGAGATTACAGGCGTGAGCGACCACGCCCTGCCAAGAACATCTTTTATAGTATGTTCTTTTTTTGATCCAAGATTCAAATCAGTGATTGTTCCTGTTAATGTTCAAAATTCCCAAAGCTCACCTGGGCAGATCCCTTCCAACCGTCTCCTGGGTTATTTGAGCCAATCCGTGTCATTCTTTGAGCCTTTGTTTTCTGTCACAAGATGTCAGAAGCTTACTTCATACTTTCTTTGTCCCGGATCTGGGGTAGCCATTTCTCTTCTGAGTCTGAATTTCTTCATCTACTGAAAAATAGTTCTTAGAAAGCCAAAAATGGCACTGGTATGCTAATTGGCACTGGGACATTATTGCTTCTTGACCCTGTCAGAAGAGAGCTATAAATACACATTTTTTAAAATCATGAGCTAATATTGATGTTTGCAATTCAAATTTAGCACTACTGTTTTTCCTAAATCATTTTATCTTATATCCCAACTTATTTTTCTTACACTAAAATTCTTGATTCCTGATAGTTTAATATTCTTTTTTTTTTTTTTTTTTTTTTTTTTTTTTTTTGAGACAGAGTCTCGCTCTGTCTCCCAGGCTGGAGTGAAGTGGTGCGATCTCGGCTCACTGAAAGCTCGGCCTCCCAGGTTCATGCCATTCTCCTGCCTCAGCCTCCCGAGTAGCTGGGACTACAGGCGCCCACCACCACGCCCAGCTAATTTTTTGTACTTTTAGTAGAGACGGGGTTTCACTGTGTTAGCCAGGATGGTCTTAATCTGCTGACCTCGTGATCAGCCCGCCTCGTCCTCCCAAAGTGCTGGGATTACAGGCATGAGCCACCGTGCCCAGCCTTTTTCTCTATTTTTTTGAAAGTAAACATGTAAAATAGGTATGATTTCTTCCTTAAATGTTTTATAGATTTGCCATTAATACTATCTAGAATTGTAGTTCTGTTGGTGGGAAGGTTTTTAATTAAAAACACAATTTTTGTAATGGATGGGGAACAATTCAGGTTTTCTATTTCTTTTTTTTTTTCTTTTTCTTTTCTTTTTTTTTTTTTTGAGACGGAGTTTCGCTCTGTTGCCCAGGCTGGAGTGCAGTGGCTGGATCTCAGCTCACTGCAAGCTCCGCCTCCCAGGTTCACGCCATTCTCCTGCCTCAGCCTCTCGAGTAGCTGGGACTACAGGCGCCCGCCACCATGCCCAGCTATTTTTTTGTATTTTTAGTAGAGGCGGAGTTTCACCGTGTTAGCCAGGATGCTCTTGATCTCCTGACCTCGTGATCCTCCTGCCTCAGCCTCCCAAAGTGCTGGGATTACAGGTGTGAGCCACCCCGGCCGGCCAGGTTTTCTATTTCTTCCTGAGTCTGGACAATTTGGAATTAAAAAAAAAAAATGTCCTTTTTTCTAAGTTGTTAAATTTTTGGCATAAAATTATTTATTTCATTCTCTTAATTTGCTTTTGATTTCCATATTATTTGTAGTGATTTTTTTCTTTATTCTCAATATTTATAATTTATGTCTCTCTCTCTCCTCCCTTGCTCACTCGCTCTTCTTTCTTTTCAGCCTAATTAGAGGTTTATTAAGTTTTAAAAAATATTTTCAAAGAAGCGGCACTGAGTTCATAACTATTTATATTTTTCTACTTCACTGATTTCTGCTCTTAGGCTTATTTCCTTCCCCTCTGTCATCTTTGAGTTAATTTACTCTTTTATTTCCAGCTTCTTAAAATGGACACTTAGATGGTTGATTCTAGATCTTTCTATTTTCCTAGTATATATTTCAAGCTATATAGTTCCTCCTAAGCTAAACTTTAGTTGCATTTCACAATGTTTTGGTATGTTGTATCTTTATTTTCATTTGATTCCAAATATCTTCTGTTGTGATATCTTCTTTGTTCCATGGACTATTTCTAAATATTTGGGGATTTTTCCAAAACATCTGCTATGATTTTTAATTTATTAAGATCAGAATATGTACTCTGAGTGATTTCAATTTGCTTATATTTATATCAAGTAATTGTTTATGACTTATAATATGATCTGTGCTTGCTACATGTTAACTAGAAAAAAATGTGAATTCTTCAATTGCTTATTACATCCTTCTATAAATCTCAATAAGCCTCAAATAGTCTACAGTGTTTTACAAGTCTCTCATATCCTTACTGATATTTGGGAAACTTGTTCTTTTGATTACTAACAGGTAATGTTAAAATCTCTAAGTATAACTGTGGTGTTCTCTATTTCTCCTTTTATTTTTTGCTTTAAGCATTTTGATGAAGAATATGTAATGGGGCATACATATTCTGATTTTTTGTCTTCTTGATGTATTAATCCTTTTACCATTGGTAAATGTACCTCTTTATCCTTGGTAATATTCATTGTTCTAATTTGCCTGATCCTTCCTTTTGATTGCTGTTTGCATGGTATAAGTTCATATCCTTTTACTTTTAGCCTATATGAGTTTTCCTACTTAAAGTGGGTTTCATGTAAACCACAGATAATTAGATCTCATTTTTTGTTCAGTCTGACAATACATGATTTTTAATGGGAATTCAGACTGTTTACATATATGTAATTATCAATATGGTTGGGTTTAAGGTCTATCATCTTGCTATCTGTTCTTTCTTCTGTTTTTCTTCTTTTCTCAACTAGCTCTTATAATGTGATTAATTTTTAAGATTGTATTTTATATCCACTATTGGCATATTAACCATATGTCTATGTTTTATTTTTTATTAGAGCAGTAGAGGTTACATTATGCATCTTTAACTTATCAAAGTCCACCTTAAAATGATATTATACTATTTATGAATTACAAAAGTTTATGAAATTATAAGTGTATTTTCATTTTCCTGCCATTATTTGTATTGTTATGTCATAATTTAATTTTACATATGTTGCATAACCCAAAATACATTTTTTAGCTTTAAGGAGTCAAGTAACTTTTTAAAAATTGAGATAAAACTCATGCATCATAAAATTTGCCCTATGAAATTGTACAGTTCAGTGGTTTTTAGTATATTCACAAAGTTATACAACTACCACCACTATCTAATTTCAGAATGTCTCACAATCCCAGAAGAAACCCCATACATATTAGCAATCATCCACATTCATCCCTTCCCCTGGCCCCTGGGAACTACTAATTTACATTCTGACTGTGAATTTACCTATTATGGGCATTTTATAAGAATAGAAGTACATTATATGTGGCCTTTTGAGCCTGTCTTCTTTCTCTTAGTCTAAAGTTTTCAGGGTTCATCCATGATGGAGCATGTATCAACACTTTATTCTTTTATGGCTGGATAATATTCTATTGTATGAATGTATGATTTTGTTTCTGCTTTCATAAAATGATGAACATATGAGTTATTTCCAACCTAATGATGGACATTTGGGATATAAATTAAAAATGCTATGAACATTCAGAAGAGTTTTTGCATGGAGATATGTTTTTAACTCTCTGGAACATACACCAATGAGTAAAATTGCTGGCTCTTATGATAATTCCGTTTAAAATTTGAGGAACTGTCAAACTGTTTTTCAAAACTGTTATATGCCTTTTTCAACAGTAATGTGCATTAACTCGCATTTCTTCATAGCACCTCAACATTTAAATTGTCTGTCTTTTTAAATATAGCCATCCTAAAGGTTGTGTTTGTACTTTTCAAATTACTAATGATGTTGATCATGTTTCTCATGTGCTTATTGGCCATATCTTCTTTGGAAACATGTTTATTCAGATCTGTTTCCATTCTTCAGTTTGATTAAATTTCTTTTTTATTACTGAGTGGTAAGAATTCTTTATGTATTCTGTATAAAAATACCTTATCTGATATGATTTGAAATTATTTTCTCCCTTTCTGTGGGATGTCTTTTCACTTTCTTAAGCATGTCTTCTTAGGTATGATTTTTTTTTAATTTTGAGGAAGTCTAACTTTTCTATTTTCCATAGCTTTTGCTTTTAGTTACATATCTAAGAAACTTGCTTCATTCAAGATCACAAATATTTATACCCATGTTTCTTCAAGGAGTCTTAGAGTTTTTACCTCTTACATATCGACTGAAGTCTGTTTTGAGTTAATTTTTGTATATGGTGTAAGGCAAGGGTCCAACTTCATTCTTTTGCATGTGAATATACAGTGGCCTCAGAACCATCTCTTGAAAAGACTATTTTTCCCCTACTGAATGACCTTAATATCTTTGCCAGTAATCAAAATCAATTGACCATAAATGTAAAGTTTATTTCTGGACTTTCAACTTTATTCCATTGATCTCTATGCCGTCCTAAAGCCAGTACCATACTCTATCGATTACTGTAGATTACTATTATGTTTTTATATTGGGAAGTGTGAGTCTTCCAACTTTGTTCTTCTTTTTCAAAATTGTTTTGACTATTGTAGGTATCTTGCATCTCCATTTGAATTAGGTTCAACTCATCAATTTCTGCAACAAAGGTAGCTGGGTCAGTGATAGGGATCTGTTGAATCCATAGATAAATGTGGGGAGCACTGTTATTTAACAATAGTAAATCTTCTAATCCATGAACACTGAATGGCTTTCCATTTATTTTGGTTTTCTTTAATTTCTCTCGATGTCATGCAGTTTTCAGAGTATAAGTTTTATACTTTGTTAATTTTTTTCTAAGTGTTTTATTCTTTCAAAATTGGTGTCTTTTAGAAGTGGTATTTTTAAAAATTTCATTGTAATATTCTTCATGGCTAATATATAAAAATATAATTGATTTTTGTATATATTAATTGTGTATTGTGACACCTTGATGTAGTCATTTATCACTTCTGAGGGTTTTCTAGTGGATTCCTTAGGATTTTCTGTATGTAAGATCATGTCATCTATAATATAGTTTTACTTCTTCTTTCCCGGTCTGAGTGTCTTCCATGTCTTTTTCTTTTCTAACTGCCTTGGTTAGAATCTCCAACTGAATATTAATAGAAGTGGTGAGACTCAACATCCTTGTCTTATTCCTGACTCTGGGTACTGAGGATGTGTTCAGTCTTTTCATCACTAAGTATGATGTTAGGTGTGAAATTTTCAGAGTACTTTATCATGCTGAGGAAATGTTTTTCAATTCCTGTTTTTTTTCCGTATTTTTATCAAAAAAGTTTATTAGATTTTGTCAAATACTTTCTCTGAATCTATTAATATAATGGAGCGGTTTTTGCCCTTTATTTAATCGATATGGTGTATTATATAGATTGATTATTGTAGGTTGAACTAACCTTGCATTTGTGGGCTAAATCCCACTGGGAGATGTTGTATAATCCTTTTAGTATGCTGTTGGATTCAGTTTGCTAGAATTATGTCAAAGGATTTTAGTTTTTTTGTGATGTGTTTGGCTGGCTTTTATGTCAGGGGAATATTGGCATTACAGAATAAGTTAGGAAGTGTCCCCTTCTCTTCAGTTTTCTGGAAGAGTTGGGAAATCATTGATGTTAATTCTTCTTTGTTTGGTAGAATTCACCAGTGAAGCCATCTGGACCTGGACTTTTCTTTGTCTGGAGGTTTTTGATTACTGATTCAATCACTTGATTGAATCTCCTGATTGAAAGACACTATGCTTAAGTAGTTGTTTTAAAGTCCATATCTAGGTATCATAAAAACAGAAAATATAACGGTGATTACTAGACACTGGGAAGGGGAAAGGGGAGAGGAGAATGAGGAGAGTTTGGTCAACGGGTACAAAGTAACAATTAGGAAGAATAAGTTCCGGTGTTTTATTGCACTTAGGGTGACAATGGTTAAGAATAAGGTATTATGTAATATATCACAAAATTGCTAGAAGAGAGGCTGTTGAACATTCTCACCACAAAGAAATGATAAATGCATAAGGTGATAGATATGCTAAATACCCAGATTTGGTCATCATACAACATATATGTATGAAAATATCAAATTGTACCCCATGAATACATACAATTACAATGTGTCAGAAAAATAAAGTCCATGTGTACTCTAGCATCATCTCTTTCATATCTGGGTTTATTTCTATTGGTTTCTCCCAGTACTGCGTCATTTGTGGTTGCTTCGTTGTGTATTTAGTAATTTTTATTGCATACTGGATATTGCGAATCTTATTTTGTGGAGTGCTGGATTTTGTTTTGCGTTTTTATTTTCCTTCCAAAAGTGTTAAACTTTGTTCTTTCAGATAGTTAAGTCACATAAGGATAAACCTGGTTTCTTGGAGGCTTATGCTTGAGCTTTGTACAGCTTTAGAGTAGCTTTTACTATGGTATAGGAGAGCCTTATTGTAAAGTCATGACCATTCTGGATTCTCTATTCAGTGCCCTGAGTGTTCAAGGACTCTCCACTGTGGTTTGACCAGAACTTAAAGGTCTCCCAGTCTTGCATCAGCTCTAGGAATTCTTTAGCTCACAGCTTCATAGCAGTACTCATCCAACCTCACCAAGTTTCATCTTCTGCCTGTGTAGCTATTATTCATCAAGAGACTTAAATCCATGCAGATTTCTGGAGTTTTTCTATGCTTGGCTCCCTCCTTTCCAGTTCTCTGTTTCCACAAGATCTAGTCACCTCATCCTCCCTGGACTGCTTTTTCTCCTTAGCGTGCTCCTCCCTCTATAGATGTCTGGAAAGTGTCACCAGGAAAAATCCAGGGTAATCATAGGACTGACTTAATTTGTTTCCTTATTTCAGTCCTACGCAGCTATTTAATGCCTTCTGTTCAGTTGTTTGGTTGTGTATAACAGGAGGGGAATTCTGGTCCCACTGATTCCACTGTGGCTGAAAGGAGAAGCCTAGCAGTTTCTTCAATCTGTTGTCATTGTTAATATTGCTGAGAAATATTTCTAGGTGTCTGAAGCTAAAAGCTGATCAGGTTCATAATTTTTGTTTGTTTGTTTGTTTTTGTTTTTTTGAGACGGAGTCTCGCTCTGTCTCCCAGGCTGGAGTGCAGTGGCATGATCTCAGCTCACTGCAAGCTCCACCTCCTGGGTTCATGCCATTCTCCTGCCTCAGCCTCTCGAGTAGCTGGGACTACAGGCGCCCGCCACCACGCCCGGCTAATTTTTTGTATTTTTTTTTCAGTAGAGACGGGGTTTCACCATGTTAGCCAGGATGGTCTCAATCTCTTGACCTCGCGATCCGCCCACCTCGGCCTCCCAAAGTGCTGGGATTACAGGCGTGAGCCACCGCGCCTGGCCAGGTTCATTGTTGTTTTACTGACTGGTTCACCAATGCACAACATGGCTAGACTTCATTCCAGTCTTTGATAACAATTTTCTAATTGCCTATGGGCAAGCACCTAAGACACTGCTTCATGTTGATGAGGGTTTTTGTTGCAGAAGTATCCCACTTCTAGGTTCTAATTTTTATTTATATCAAGATAGACTAAGTTATGTTATGGTAACAAACAACCTCAAGGCTTTGTGGCTTTATTGAAACAACAAACATTCATGTTTTTTTTAATACATATGATGAGTCCATTATGGATGGACAGGAGTCTCTGCACTTCCTAGTCTCTTAGGTGAACAGGCTGATGAAGTAGCCACCATCAAGAACATGACTAATCACCATACAAGAAGGAAGGAGAGCTACCTACGTGCTCACACTAGCAATTCAATGACCTGCCAAGAAGTGGCACACATCACTCTTGTTAAACTTCTACTCACAACTCATTGGCCAGAACAAGTTTCATGATCCTGCACAACTACAAGGGGTTTAACCAGTTGAATCCTATAGAATGCCCCAAAGAGATGAGCCAAGTGAACAGCCTGAGAGGTTATTACAGGTTTGACATAAGAAACAGGTAGTAACTGCTTAGCTTAGGAGGATCTGGGTTGTATAGTGTGGATGGCCTGGAGTTTTAAATTATGCGGATCTCAGTTCCAACACCAGCTCTCCTCCTTAATGTACGTGTGACTCAAGGACTTTTTTGTACCTGCACTCCGCTTGCTTCTCTCATTGACTAGAAAATGAGGATAATAATGCTTATGCCATATTATTTATAATGATTAAGTAAATTCAAAGTTGTGTAAAGTGCTCAGCATGGGATCTGCACGTAGTGCTAAATAGATGGTAGTGGTTATTATCATCGTCACTGTGATCATCGTGGGAATGAAAGTCACTGCCCCTCAGGGTATAAGTCCAGCTGCCTAGGATGTCACTGATCTCCTCCAGCATTTGGGAACTGCAACAGAGATCCTCATATTTCCTCATAGTAAATAGGAATTCAGAGTCAGCATATTTCTGTAGGCCCAGCATAGGAGGGTCCAAAGACATTTGGGATTTCTTCGCTCAAACATTTCTTATTTCTTCCTCCTCTTCTTTTTCTATCCCACCAATTAAAGTACGGCTTAGTTCTTTGTGTCTTTAGTTGAGCGAGGACTAGTAAAAATCAAGGAGAGAGAGTGCTATTCACAGCATCCCTCTTCCCTCCGCTGGTAATCCAGTCATTTTAATCAACCTGAAATTCCCTAATATTACCACCTTCCTTCCTGCCTCTGTTTCCCTGCACACATTGTTCCCTCAGTTTGGCCTGCCCTGTCTTCTTTTCAAGGAGCTCATCTAAGCTAGTTGTTAATCTATGAGTCTATCCAGGGCAGAGACTAAGAGCCTATTGATCTTGGTACTCTCAGTCCCTATTACCGTGCTTGGTGAAGAGTTGGGACACAGTAGATTGGAACTCTTTGCAGACTTGATTGGTTCAATCTGATTCTATGAGATATTTATTAAGCAATGTCAGTAGTATGGCAGAAATGAAAAGACAAAGGAAACACCACCTTTCTTCCAACTGTTTTGATCTGGTGAGAGAGCTAGGTATACTATCTAGTATCTAGTGAGAGAGAGAAAACTATGCCAGGATAGACATTAGCCATTGAACACAGGGGAGACCAGAGAGATCAGCAGCAGGGTTGACAAACATTATCTGTAAAGGGCAAGATAAATGTGTTAGGCTTTGTGCGCCGTACACTCTCTGTTGAAATAGCAACTCAACTCTACCATCCTAGCAAAGAGGCAACCACAGACAACATGTCAACAAATGAGCATGGCAGTGTCCCAATAAAACTTTATTGATAAAAACAGCAGACTAGATTTGGCCCATGGGGTGCAGCTTCCTGATTCTGATCTAGAGATATGGCTTTTTTTTTTCTTATTTAATAAAGGGGAAAAATTTTGGAAGGAATATACAAGTAACTGTGGAACCGGTCATTCTGTGCAATAAGCAAGTATGTGGGATGGGGAGAGGAGGCAGAGGGGGTGTGAGGGGAACAGGCAAGGAGGTCAGAAGTTAGAGAGATGGGACAGAGACAAAGTCAACCTTGCAGTTGTCCCCAAGGTTCTCTTATTAACTTGTGTGCTGGGAGCACCCTGCTCCAAGCTGCCCACAGCCTATCTAGTTTGTCCCTGAGCTAAGCTGGCTAACCTGCTAGGGTCAGTGTCTCCCTCCTGGGAAAATGATGGAATGGACATTTAAAAAAAAAAAAAAAAAGGTTCATGCCTGTAATCCCAGCACTTCGGGAGGCCAAAGTAGGTGGATCACTTGAGGTCAAGAGTTCGAGACCAGCCTGGCCAACATGGTGAAACCCCGTCTCTACTAAAAATACAAAAATTGGCCAGGCAGTGGTGGCGCGTGCCCATGATCCCAGATACTCAGGAGGCTGAGGCAAGAGAATCGCTTGAGCCTGGGAGGCAGAGGTTGCAGTGAGCCGAGATTACTGCAACCTGGGCGACTCAGCAAGACCTGCTCTCAAAAAAAAAAAAAAAAAAGTACAGCTATGAGAGGAACATCTCTACACTTACCTCCACCCGCCCCCAGACCACGGACGTTCATGTTGAGTCTTTGTGAGGGCTGCCTGTGCACATGGCCTTGAAGAATCTCCTCAGTGAGCACCTGCATTTTATCTGCTCTGCACAAAAGGTCTTCGCAGGATTACTCTGGTGACCTGGCATGCTCAGATGCAGGCGTTCATCAGAGCAATCAAGATTATGTCTCATCCAAGGAACTTTGTTTAAATTCCACTAGTATTTTTTTAAATTTACAAATATTCCTTCTCAAATCAAGAATTTAAAGTCTGTTCACACATAAGCATGGAAAAGTCTTTCATGAAGACAAAATGGTCCATCTAAGCAAATGATTTTAACAATTTTAGTGTGGGCAAATTCTCACATTTTCTGTTTTCTCCTTTGGCAGACATCTGACCAATTTGAGCCTATTTTGATTTCCTGAATGGTCAGTGTCTCGTGGGCTGGAATATTTGTGTGTGTGTGTCTCCGATGTCATTTCTTCTTTGTGGATTATTAAAATAAATTCATTTCCCTTAGTCTTTCCTTTTCCCATTTGCAAAGACTTGTTTCCTTTGTGTCTGTGCTTATCAGTGTCTTGTCTTGAGGTAGGCGTTTAGGGTGAACAGCAGTGGGTGTCCCCCTCCAAGGAGTGCTCAGCCTCCCGGGCGTTAGTGACGCCTCAAACCTGCGTTAGGGACGCTCAGGCTGTTTGTTGGGAGCGGCGCACAAGCCCCTGCTCCGCTGGGCCCGCGGCGTGCCTGCGTCTGCCTCTCTGCACCCTGCAGCGCGGCCAGCAGGGAGCGCACCCGGGAACCCCCAAGAGTTCCCATTTTCACTTCTTTGCAGGATAGTAATGGATCATGGACGTGCAAACAAAACAAACTTGGAGAGCTTCAGAATAACAGTGAGTCTGAACAGTTGCCATTCTGATTCAGTGGCTTCCTGTTACTGTAGCTATTCCTATCTATCACACCATTTCACAGAGCTCTACATATTTTACCTCTAAATCCAAGCTACAAACAAAACTAGCTTACATTTATTAAGTACTTGCCAGGTACTCATCAAAGCATTTAACATGAAGAAATGCACTTAAATATCAGGATAACACAAAAATACAAGTACTATCAACATTTCCATTTTATTGATGAGGAAATTGAGGCTTACAGGGATGAGGCTTAGCTAATACGTGGTAAGCCAGGATTCAAACCCAGGCTGATTAACTCCAGGCCCCACACTCTTACTGCACCCAGCACTGCTTCCTACATATTTAGCAAGTATGTTTTCTGTGTCAGGCACTCTGCTGAAAATTGCATATGAATAATGGACAAAACGCATGGGGCTTTCAGTCTGCGGTCACAGAAATGAATAAACATACACACACACAAAATTTAAAGTAGTAATAAGTGTTATGAGGAACAAGAGAAGGACACTGAGAAATGGAACAATGAGAGGAGGAGGGGGAGGGAAAGGAAGCTACAAGTTCGGTGGTTGGGGAAGGATTCTCTCAGCCCCACCTGGTGTTGCATTCCAGACCCCACTAGAGACAGTGCTGGGTCAAAAAGCCAGGTGAGATTGAAGAATGAGAAGAAGACAGGAAGAGCGAGCTCTCTGGGAAGAGAGACCAGATGTGTGAAGCCTTACGAAAAACAAAGAAAAAACAAAAGGAAAGAAGAACTTGGTGTTTTCATGTGGAGTGAAATCAAAACCATTTGCCCTGCTACATATCCAAGACATTCAGCCAATATCAATGCCCACTTTTAATCCTTTTTAATACAGAAAGTGTATTAGAAATAAATGCTCGTTGTCTTTGGCCTGGATCCATGACTACTCTGCAAGGAAGGGTTGTCAAACCACATTTGGGCCACCCTGAGATTGTGATTGGCTGTGAAACAGGATTGGCTGCAACACATTCAACCAGAATGGCCCAGCCCATATATCTGTCTAAATCTTGCAAGTACTGCAAGCAGACCTAGTGGAAGACCTTGCCTACAATGGGCGAAGGAGACCCAGAGCAAGGATTCTTAAGAGGTGCAGTCATCTGCAGAAGAGAAAACACTGGCTTTGTGGCCCAGCACTTTCTGTTGTGGGGCCTGGAACACTATGCCAGCTGGGGCTGAGTTCTTAAAGGTCCTGCACTAGACCGGACATGAGTGGAGCCATGGCACCGTGGCTCCATTATTTACCAACATGTCCGGAGCTGAGAACTGTGCCTGAAATATAGTGAATACTCATGAGAATTGTTGCATAAGCTGAGAAAAATCATTTAGGTGAGTGGACAGAAGGAAGAGGAGTAGCTCAGCCATTCTACTTGGAGAATAGAGGAACTTTCATAGCTTTTATTGAACATCTTGTTTCAGATTATTGGTTAATTTATTATTTTGTTTTGTGTATTAGTTTGTTTATGGGTTGCCTGCCTATGGGTTTATTAAAAGAGAAGGGAATGCGTTTAGATAAGGAAAGAAAGACTGCCCTTGAAATGTATGTTCTTGGAGAAATCATCAATGTTTTAAGTTGTCTTGGTCACTGAACAGAACAAAAAGCCAACCTAGTAGAAGTTCTTAGTTCTCACCTTTGTGCCTTTCCCAGTTATGTGATGAGCACTGGCTGCTTGTGGCCACAGCTGCCCTTCTCAGAGGATGGCACTTGGTTGAAATGAGGGGGGTCCTCCTAGGGAGGTTATGACCCCACCTCATACCTTAGGCAGCTCTTGGCCAATGACTGACTGACAAAGGGGCACAAAAGCCTGCCCCTTTTCTCAAAGTGTGGCCATCTCTGTAACGCCTTTTACATTTCCAGGTGCTCCCTGTGACCGGGCTGAGGCTCTAATCTCTATCACACTCCCCGTCCCTACTTAGCTTTCTTCCCCTGCCCACCTGCCTCCCTCATCCCTCTCCTCCTGAGCTCTTCCATCAGTCAATCACTTATATAAGAAGCCTCACTTAGGACCTGCTTTTAGGGAACCTGAATAAGGCTGGCAGGGTTCATTGTTCTTCCAGACATTGCTTTTCTTTCTGTCTGAGCTGATCCCCCAGCTGGGGATCCATTTCCCAAACTCTGTAAGCCTGGGGACCTCATGCTTACCACCTTATCTTTGTGCCTATGGATGACTGTCAAGGGAAACATTTTCTCTAGGAACTGCATTGCTAATGGGATCAAACATTGGCAACATATCGATCAAGTCTCCTTTTCTTTTTTTCTTTTATTTAAGACAGACTTTCACTCTTGTTGCCCAGGAAGGAGTGCAATGGTGTGATCTCGGCTCACCACAACCTCCACCTCCCAGGTTCAAGTGATTCTCTTGCCTCAGCCTCCCAAGTAGCTGGGATTACAGGCACACGCCATCACACCCAGCTAATTTTGTATTTTTAGTAGAGATGGGGTTTCTCCGTGTTGGTCAGGCTGGTCTCGAACTCCTGACCTCAGGTGATCTGCCCGCCTCGGCCTCCCAAAGTTCTGGGATTACAGGCATGAGCCACCGCGCCCGGCCTCAAGTCTCCTTTTCTATTGCAGTGTTTGTTTTGTCACTGGCAAATAGTCCTTCCCACGTCCCATACTTTTCTTTTTTAATTGGCATATTCTTTCTTTCGATCTGTCAATGTCTTAAATTGCAATAGTCAGACTATGTTGGCTTGTGTCTTATTTTCTGTACTTAAGGTAACTTTGCATTCTGACTTCACCAACTTTATGTTGATTTTATAGCTTGGTCCTCAAAGCGCAATCATACTCCAATCATTGCCATGTGCTGGGGGATAAATCCCACATTTATTACACTAAATTCGTGAAAAGGTTTGAATTTCACTCTTTGCTCATTTCACTTCTGGGAATGAAACTCCGTAAATACTTTCATTTGTCAAGAAATCAAGAAAGACTTTTATTACAATGGCTTCCTTTCTGAAAGGTATGTGTTATTTTAAGGATAACAAGAATCTGCAAATTGATGTTCCCTGAATATGACTTGAGTAATATAGTAGTTTATGTTTGCACAGAAGGTGCTGACTTGGATGGAGAGAATATTTCAACTTCTGGCTCTTAGTAAAGTGGTAAGCTAGAAACTTTTGCCTGGCTTCATTCCTATCTAACTCCCAGGACTGATTTGCAAATTCATGAGATAATGTCTGAGAACCACTCTGCGCTCTTAAGAGAAAGGAGCCAGATAAATGTAACGTATCATAATTAGAGCCACTGCATTTTGCTTAACTTCCACACTTCTGGGAAAATGATTAAGCTACTTGGCTTCTTCCTTTCCCAAAGTCCTTTACCCAGGTGCCATATCCTTGCTGTCTATATGGTTACAACTTTACCATTCTTTCTGTTCACACTTCTTCTTCATTTTAAGGAAAACAAAAATACAAAGTTTTAGGTAACCCACCTTAGCTAGGACAGCTCCTGAGTGCACAGGCTGGGATTTGAATATAATGCCTCCCCCCTACTCATACACTCAGATTTTTTTACTATAGAGGATAAGAACTAGCTTCCCCAATCTCAGTCATTTCATGTACTGAGAATCTGCAGGAGGTTAATGAGGTTGAATGACATTGTGGCAGGTGCACTCATCTTGTGGTAAGGGATTCGGTACTGAGCATTCTCATCTCCCAGTCAGTCATTCTTAACACGTTCTGTAGTCCCTTTAAAGCCCTGCTTTCAAGAACCACTGTGATTACAGTGATCTGTAAATGTATGTCGTGGTGGATCTTAAGGTTACCCCCCAGCCAGGACATGGGTGCTGAGGGGTGGGAGCACAGCCCAGGCCCCCTGAAGAACGCAGGTGGTGCTGCACATGGCACCCATCAGCCTGCTGTCCTGGGGCGCTGTGGGCAGTGGAAAGGACCTCAGTCCAGAGTCTGCGGATCTAGCTGCCGGAACTAACTCTCCCCACACTCGCTGTGAGACCTAGAGCAATTCATAGACCTTCATGCAACTCAGTCCCACATTGGTTGGGAATGAGGCAAAAGGTAGTTTGGAGGCAATCTCTTAACCTCTTAACAATCTCCTCAAAATGCAACTGGAACATTCTAAGTACTCAGTGAATATTCTGCTCTCTTGTCACTGTTCTCTTCTTCCAGCTTGGAAAGTAGGCTTGGGACTAGACGTGAAGCTGCCATCTTGCATACATAAAAGCCATCATGAGGAAGGATGTCAGTGGCTCACAATGAAAGGACGAAGGGACCAGAGCAGCTCAAGGCGCTGGGGATATTCTGCTGCTGCTGCTGCGCCAGCCTGGGATGGCCCATCTCTGCACACCCGGCATGTGAGGAAAGTTCATTCACGTTCGGTTAAGCCACCATAGCAGGGTTTCCATAAAAGCAATGATCATTTCATCATATCTAACAAGAATTAGAAACATCAATGCTATCAAGAAATATTTGAAATATGTCTTATTTAATGATGATCCTTGCCTGTGTGTGGTGTGCCTTAATTTATTAGGTAATAATAATTATATATATATACATATATGAATATATATTTATATTTATATATCTCACTATTTTATATATATACTCATATATGTGTGTGTATATCACATCCTATATTATAAACATATATATAACTATTAACTATTACCAAATATAGATAACTTATAATCTTATATATATAATTTATAACTTACAAGTATATAAGTACTCATATGTTGGATCATATGCACAAAAGCTTTTTCTGATAGGTGTGTGTGATCCAGAAAGTGTGGAGAGCATTTCTCACAAAGTCTCTAAGTGCCATGGTAACAGTTACACAAAGCTATGTAACATATAGGGCATAGATCTTAATAACCACTCTGAGAAAGAAGGGTAATTCATATTAATGCTCAGGGTTTATAGCTGCCTAGTTCCGAATGTTTCCATGTCCCTTGGCAAGGGAGCCACGGAGGCAATCGCCCTCCCACACCTTCTGAGATTTTAGCTCACAGCTTTATGCCACTTTTCCATTCTGAATGGAAACTTCTTTGTGAAATCACTAATGTTAACATGCCTTAGGAACTATCTTATGCAGCCTATCGTCCACTCCGAAGAGAAAAGAAATGTCCCAGAGGTGGCTGGGCATGGTGGCTCACGCCTGTAATCCCAGCACTTTGAGAGGCTGAGGTGGGCAGATCGCCTGAGGTCAGGAGTTCAAGACCAGCCTAGCCAACATGGTGAAACACTGTCTCTACTAAAAATACAAAAATTAGCTGGGCATGGTGGTGGGCGCCTGTAATCCCAGCTACTTGGGAGGCTGAGGCAGGAGAATTGCTTGAAACTGGGAAGTGGAGGTTGCAGTGAACCGAGATCACGCCACTCCACTCCTCCAGCCTGGCGACAGAGCAAGACTCTGTCTCAAAAAAAGAAAAGAAAGAAATGAAAGAAAAAGAAAAGAAATGTCCCAGAGGCGACTCTCCTTGCATCCAAGATTCTACCAAATTGTTGAATCTAATAACGTTTGCCCTTCTAGAGCATAAAACAAATGGAATTAAAGCTCATGGGGAAAAATATGCCCAACATGTGTTACTGGTTGGAGGATTCTCCTCAAAGCGGATAGTTTAAAAATAAAAACATTAATAATTATAGTAACAGTGATAACATTACACTGGTTTGTTTAATATTTCATAGTTAGCAGGTAAAGTAGGTTCAAATGTCTCATTTTATTTTTACATCAATCCTGGATGTGAAATTGGCTTGCTTATGCATAATTATGAATCAGTGTCATCATTTAATTACTACGAGAAAATTCAATGGTATAGGAACTTAATCACACACAAAATGGTGATTGCCCAATAAATAAAATGTTGCCAGAAGCCAAGGGAAAAAAAAAAAGGGTGAAAATGCTAAAATCCACCATTCGGGCCGGGCGCGGTGGCTCACGCCTGTAATCTCAGCACTTTGGGAGGCTGAGGCAGGCAGATCACGAGGTCAGGAGATCGAAACCATCCTGGCTAACACGGTGAAACCCCGTCTCTACTAAAAATACAAAAAAATCAGCTGGCCACGGTGGCGGGCGCCTGTAGTCCCAGCTACTTGGGAGGCTGAGGCAGGAGAATGGCGTGAACCCGGGAGGCGGAGCTTGCAGTGAGCCGAGATCACACCACTGCACTCCAGCCTGGGCCACAGAGCAAGACTCCGTCTCAAAATAAATAAATAAATAAAAGTTGATATACGATAGTTGTACAGCTTTTTGGGGTACACGTGATATTTTGGTACCTGTACATGGCCATACCGTCCTGAATGTGCCTGATCGCCTCATGCCCTTTCTTACTCCTGTTTCTAACAGCACATGTTAGCCAGACACTTATGCTGAAAATGATGACATGCAAGGAAAGGGGAGAAAGGACACCCCTAGCTCCTTTCCCTGTCAGCCCACTCTTAACTCGCAGTAAGCCAGAGGCAGAGAATGTTGGTAGAATGTGAGTATATCAAGAAGTGAAATAAAAACAGTTGAGTTCATTCCATGCAGTCTGTCAACTGTTTGCTAAGAACAAAGTGCATATGCCTGTACAAGCTAAACAACACAAAGTGTGTGATTTCAATAATTCTGCATATGAGTTGAATGCTCTTATATTTATTTGGATTTAAAACTGACATTGTGGAATATAAATATTTATGGTTAAATTATGCTAATAATTTAAATGATTTTGACTTTTACTCACTTAGAACATTAAATGGCCATATAAAGTGCTATGGCAATTTGAGAGAGAGAGGCCGTAGAAGAAAGGGAAAACCTTTATATTTAAGGATTCTGAGTAGCACTTTTTTTTCTGCCTTTTGAACAAGGAGCCCACATTTTCATTTTGCACTGCAGCTCACAAATTTTGTAGCTGGCCCTAGACTCATCTGAGGTGGGAGAGCAGTTATCTGACAGAATCTCAAAGAGTTGTCACTGTTTTGAGACGCATAACATCAGAAACTTGAATTTTGGAAAAGACATTTTATACAACAGGGGTTCATTCACCTTTAATTTTATAGCATGTTTTCTTTTTTAAAATGCTTGCTTTTCTCAGCTGTGTTAACAGAATACAAGAAAATGCATTTTTTCCTTCATCAGAAAGAGAGAAGGAACCCCATGCCAGTAATAATCCAGGCAAGGGGACACAGGGACCCCCATCTCGCTGAGGGATTTTGATTCCAGAGGTTTTGCTTCTCACTTGACGGGAAGCACACTGTTGTCTTCTGCTTATTTTAGTAAGGGGACTGTGATGGTTAATACTGAGTGTCAACTTGATTGGACTGAAGGATGCAAAGTATTGTTCCTGGGTGTGTCTGTGAGAGTGTTCCCAAAGGAGAGTAACATTTGAGTCAGTGGACTGGGAGAGGCAGACCCGCCCTCAATCTGGGTGGGCACCATCTAATCAGCTGCCAGCACGGGTAGAATAAAAGCAGGCAGAGGAACGTGGAAAGGCTAGACTGGCTTGGTCTCCTTGCCTATATCTTTCTCCTGTGCCGGATGCTTCCTGCCCTAGAACATCGGACTCCAAGTTCTTCAGCTTTGGGACTCTTGGACCTTCAAACACAGACTGAAGACTGCACTGTCGGCTTCCCTGCTTTTGAGCTTTTGGGACTCGGACTGGCTTTCTTGCTCATCAGCTTGCAGACAGCCTATTGTGGGACCTCACCTTGTGATTGTGTGAGTCAACATTCCTTAATAAACTCCGCTTCATATATACATCTATCCTATTTTTTCTGTCCCTCTAGAGAACCGTAATACAGGGGCCATGTACTCACATCCCAATATGAACAAGCAAAACTCTTGTCTGAAGGACCTGAAAGAATCTTAGATGAACCCATGATGTTTATCTTGTCACTGGGCAAGCCAGAGAAAGTGTCACACTGACCTACGGAGAAAAGCTTTTCAGTCAGGAAGTTCACCCTCAAGGTCTGCTTTCCTGTTTCAGGAGTGTGGCTAAGCATTTGCTCATGCCCGCCAATGCCCTCCATTTACAGAGGAGTAAGTGGATCACAGGAATGTGCTCTTGGCCCGAGGAATTGCATCTCACTGGCTACAGTATTGCTGCAGGCCCAGAAGGCATCTACACATTTGCTCTGCCTGTACAAAGATTTAAAAGAAAGCAGATTGAGCACACAAAAACCCCAAAGTGGGAAAACCCACAAAACCCAGAAAGGTCAAGCAATTTATTTAGCAACATTTCAGCAAGAGGTTGCCAGAACTGAAATGTCCCAAGTCTCTTGACTTCCTGCCAGTGCACTTTGAGTCTCCCATCTGAGAAGCGAACAGCAGCATGAAGACAGGACACTAAAGACAGCGAACTCCAGGTTTCCTGTGTGACAGTCCTTATTCCTGTGATCTATGACTGCCTATGTCGGTTGTTTTGCTTGTACTTAAGTGTTTACTACTGTTTCAATTTAATGGAAAATAGAGAAGCCCATAAATTGGAAACCATATGACCTGGCAAACGGTTTAAGCTGTGTGGGACGTCCAGTTGATGGAATATGGAAATTTCCTGTGAACTGCTCTTAAATCCTTTAACACATAGTACTCTCTGCTGCCTCTGGGATGTCATCTGTTCTTTCTGCCTGGGAACATTATTCCTTCTCTTCTCACCTAGGTAACTCCTTTATTCAGTCAACAAATATTATGCCGTCTGTACTATGGGCCCCATGCTCTTTTAGGTCCTGGGGATACAGCCATGAACAACAAAGTCCCTGCCCACTTGGAGCTTACATTCTGGTGAATCTACACTCACCCTTCAAGATGTGACATACATCTCCTTCTCAAGGGATCTGTCCTCCTGTGCCTCCCCCAGAGGAGGTTGGGTTTACCATTTATACTCTCCCCTAAGGCCCAATACTTCTTCAGAGTTCTTTGCAGGCATGTATTATTTTCTTCATTATTTATACATAGTTGGTTAATGTCTGTCTTTCATTGCTGGATGGTGACCTTATGAAGGCAGTGGCTATGCTGGTTCTGCCCACTGCTGTATTTCTGAGCCCATCAGCCTGCAACATGGGCTATAATCAATGTTTGTTTGTTGATTGTGGCTAATTGCATGCTTTCTGCTAGAAGTACTTGTATTTTTTCAATATACTTCTAGCCAAAAGGTGGCACTGCAGGAGAATAAGTGAACAAAGCTTCAAACTAGTTAACTGTAATCATTGGATGGGATCCAATTAGTTATAGGCTAGTGTTAGAACTAGAAATAGCTTATTTCAAAACTTGTACACACGCATATCCATACACATATTCGAAATCTCAATAAAACCAATGAATGAAAGTCACCTAAGCTTATTAAGAATATTAACATTTCTATGACCATTGCAGAGATCCAGATGCAGTTACAAACACAGCTAGAATCCAAATTATGATTCATTAACTAATAAATATCTATTTAGGACATGGACAAGTTGAATTTTTTTATCTCAGTGGTTACAAGTAAAGAAAAAAAACCTGTAATTTTTTTTGGTTAGTAACTTGCTTTGACTTACTACAATTTCATTGCAAAATTATCCTCCAAATTCCAGCTCCCTTCCATAAGTCTTCTTATAGCATGATAAGCCTTTCTGAAAAAATGATATTACAACCAGCAGCCTCTTCAAAGGCTTCAGCAACAAATACACAGACAGCAGATAGACAACTGCTAGATAAAAATCTGCTCACAATGTTGGCTGTAAATAATGAATGGTGGTTTCCATGTTTTAGCATTGGCCACCTGGGTGCCTGTGGTGCCCAAGGCAAGTCACCAACTTCAGCAGAGCATCCTCCCCACAAATCGGAATCTCTTCCTTTATGTGTTTACCTCCAAAAACCAAATACAAGTTTACATGGTCCTTTTATTTTTATATGAGATATATCTGATGTGGTTATGGGTGAGTGTGTATATGTGTGTGTGAGATTGTGTGCACATGCCTCTGTGTGTGTGTGTAATGGAAGTGTGTAAGTAGAATATGATTCACTTGGAAACAATATTTTGCTTTATATTCTGCTTTATAGATGAAATTTTATCCATGTCCTCATATCCTCCAATCTAGTTGGAAAGATAAGGCCCATAGACATGTCGGTTAGCTGCGTTTTCAAGGTTTTTGAACTACAGATACAAATCAGCAGTGTGCTTCAGATTCGGCATCCATATTACAATTCACAAACTGCAGTTAAGGCTACAGTATACATTTTACGTAGGCTTAGCAGGAAGATTCCACCAAAGGGCCAGATGTCAGAGACAGTGAATTTCACTGTGCGTTGCTCTGATGAGGGATAACTTCTTTAGCAGAAGTATGAGCAGACCATGTCTCCTGCACATTATTAGAAGTTGTCTAGGTCTTTGGAATTTGGAGACTTCGAAAATACTTCTGCTGTAAACATTAAATTGATAGCTTTTTAAAAATGTACAACCTCAGCATATATTAGCAAAAAGAAGAAAGCCATTCAGCTTCCAAGTTTTCTTAAGAATAAGAGCCAAAATCTCTGTGGCTTCTAACAAAAATAACTTCCAAATAAATATTGTGCCTTATGACACAATGATAATTATAAATGAGAACTAGAAATATATATATATTTAAATTTTTTAGTTAACATATATGTAAGAAAAACACATGTGACCAATGCTAGAAGATATTCTCCTTAATTAAGTTGGTAAGAGGTACCACATTCTCCACAGGCTGGATGGCATCAATGGATTTTGGCAGATTTCACTGAAGGAAGAAAATGCCAGGTTGACAAACTTTATATTCCTTGTGGGAGACATTGTTTTGTAAAGTTCCCATTTGGGACAATATCCATCTCTGAGATCTTTCAAAGGAAGCTAACAAAGTATCCCAGAGAATAACAGACATAGAGCTAAACATGACACAGGGCTAAACACATTATCTGTGTTTTCCTAGTAAGCATGATACAAACAAATTAGTGTTTGGGACAAAGATCGAGTTTCTGAATGATTTTGTCAATCAGTGCAACAGTAAACCAAATTTAGAAAAGATAAAAGCTAGGGCCAGGTGCGGTGGTTCACCCCGGTAATCCCAGCACTTTGGGAGGCTAAAGCGGCTGGATCACCTGAGTTCAGGAGTTCGAGACCAGCTTGGCCAACATGGCAAAACCCTGTATCTACTAAAAATACAAAAATTAGCCAGGCGTGGTGGTGTGCGCCTGTATTCTCAGCTACCTGGGAGGCTGAGGCAAGAGAATCACTTGAACCTGGGAGGCGGAGGTTGCAGTGATCTGAGATTGTGCCATTGCACTCCAGCCTGGGCAACAGAGTGTGACTTCATCTCAAAAAAAAAAAAAAAAAGATAAATCTAAACAGGTGAGATGAAATGCACACAAGGCAAAAAATGACACACTATGGAGAAAACCTTGAACACTTAAGAAAATGTTGATCAGTTCTTAAACATATTGCTGGGAGCATAAACATATTGCTGTCTGTCTCACTGCAGGTCACTGTGCTTTAGCATAATTGTTTGATAAATGTAGAATTAGTTCTTGTTTTTCAACAACAATAATAACAACAATAATAGGAATAATAGCAGCCAATATTCATTGAATGATTACTATGCACCAGGCATTTCTCTAAGAACTCTATAAACTGTCTCTATCTGTGTAGACTCCATATTGGGTAGGTTTTACTGCTTTCCTTAACTTACAGATGAAGAAGCTGAGGCACTAAAAGTCTCAATAATGATCAAAAGAAGTCATTGTTTGTCATTGTGGATGCAGAGAGGCATAGGGTGTCTGGTGCTTAATTCATTACCGGGGTAAACTGGTGATTATACACATCAGGTACCCATGAAATATCAAAATAATATGTCCATGAGTATTTTACATGTTTGATTTCTCCCCAAAGCATTTTTAAACTCACATACTCTTTCAAATTTTAGACAAGATTCTGGCAAACTTTGGAATAAAGTTTGCCAGGCAAGCAGAGCTCCCGAACAGTGATCAATACCCTCATGGGCTGGTGAGTCCTTAAAAACTAACCTGTCTAGACACCAGATACTGCTTCTATGAGAGCAGGGAAAATTGAGGGTTAAACAGCCCTTGTAAAAACAATGCCACTGCTATGGATATGTATGCTCAAGTCAAGTCCATTGTGAAAGAAAATACAGCTTCAGAAAGGTGGATGAGGTTTGGAGATGCTGGTTTTGAAAGCCAATGGACTATTTTCTGAGTCTGATATGAAAATGAGGACAGCGGTCTTCACCCCTGACTGCATACTTAAGAATCACTTGAGAGCTTTAAGAAAAATACAGGTGTGGGGGCCCCATCGCAGACCAATTAAATCAGGATTTCAGGGAGTGTGGAGACTGAGCGTTTTTCAAAAGCTCCCCAGGTGACTGCAACATGTAGCCAGCATGGAGAAGCCTATTTCAGATGTAGTCTAGACCGCTGAAACTTCCCCTTGAGTACATACGTTGGAAGTCTCAGAACTGGGATGTAGTTGTTAAAATCTCTAACGCCCCAGCAGCCAAGTTGGTACACACTGTGGCAGAGAAAGCTCGAAGTTTATTTGGTAAGACCACCCACCTGCTGGGAATCTTGTGCCTCCCAGCTTATGTTATTTTGAAAGAGAATTATTGTGAAAAAGTCTAGACAGTTGTTAGTATGGGAAGCCTATCAAGAACATAAGAAAGTATTCAGAGAATACAGAATTCATGTGATGACACAGTATTATTTAAAATTCAGGAGTCCTTCACCTATTAGCTCCCAAGAATGAGTCGTACATGGGGTGAGGTGGGGAGGGCATGGATGTGAAGGCAGACTTATGAACATCAAAATTAGTGGTAGATTTATATCAGGCTTCTACAAACAGGCTACACAAACCATTTCTTGATAGCATTTCTTGGTGACTGGATGCTAATTTAAGTTCTATCGTCTCCTGTAGGTCTGCTGTTGAGCTCATGACTACGCCCGGGTTTAGGTGCTATCTAAGCTTCTTGAGGATGGCAGAGCACATGGGTGGTTTAAGTTTCAGGGTGTCTTCACCATATGCCAACTGTCTTGAGTCTTCATTCAAAAAGCAATGGTTCATAGTTTTTCTGTAATTCTCAGAGAATTCGTGAAGGCACCTGAGCTCAAACCACAAGCTTACCCTGTCTCAAAAAAGGGATGTCCACAAAAGCGTTTCAAATGGCTAAAAAGACGGGGGTTTGCCTGTTTTTCATCAGCTCACTGCTCTATCCCCTCCAACTAATGCAAGCCAGGAATGTAGGTGCGGAAGGGAAGCCAGGTCCTTCCCAGTGTGTCCTCCTGATGGAATGCCAGTCCTGAACAGTCCTCTCTACAGATGCTAACAGCCTCTTCCTCCATGTCCGGAAAGACCCCTACTGTGCTCTAGCAAATCTCCTCCACTCTCGGATAACAGTTAAATAAAAGACCCAGGCACACTGCAGTCTCCCAGCTAGAGCCAGATTTCTCTAGATCTTGCCTAGAACAGGCAAAAAGCAGTGCACTAGGAGAAAGGGAGAATATTCTCAGTGCCAACGCTCTCTTTCCCCAGAGCCACGACAAGCAAGGAGCAAAACTGAGGTGAAAACGGAGAGTTCCCCCAAATGCACAAAGTGGGTGCATTATCTGTTGGGGAAGACCCGGGATTTCCCAGAGTCTATTCAGAATGGCAAGTTCTTGCTATGTGAAATATGGGCAGGGTCAACGGTGTAGATGAATTCAGCTCTATTCTTCTTAATGCCAGTGTGCACCTGTGGACCCAGCAGAAGTCGGGGTCGCACAGGACTCTCCAAGCCCCTGGCTTCTCTCCTGCCGGGCCTGTGCGTTTCCCTCGGACCTTAAACGGTTCCCTGGGTTTGGGCAAGCTCAGGGCCCGGCCGGGTGGACTGGATGCCAGGGTGCACCACCGGAATGACAGAACCACGCAGAGCCGCGGGGCTGCGGGAGCCAGTGGGGCAGGAGTGCCCGCGGAGGGCGAGCCAAGGCGCGCAGCCCACTGGCAGGCCAGGCCGGGTCTCTCCCAGGCGCGGGAGCCGCGGGTGGGGGCTTGCCCTCCGCGCCGGTGCAAGGCTCTCACTTCCCCAGCCGCTCAGGGGCGGGCTCCGCGCGCGCAGGCCCCGGAGCCGCCATCCCATTGGCCGGGGGACACGCCCGTCCCCGAGTGAGGGCTTCGAAAGTTTCATTGAAGGTGGAGAAGCGCGCGCCGCCGGGGAGCCCCGGCTGCGCCGCGAGGGCGAGGCTGCAAGGCGGCAGGCGGTGGTCGCGCTGGGCGACGGGACGGCGCTGGTTTTTCTCTTGAGTTTTAAATTGAGGCGGTGGAGGAGGGAGTGGGAGACCCACTCACCCGATATGCGCTCTGGTCTCCATTTCTCCCCACGCTCGCGCCGTTCCTTCGAGTGAGGGAGGGACTCGCAGCGCCGCCCGCGCACCGGACCCACAAGGCGAGCCCCGTGGTGGCGGGGATGGTTCTGCGCGCCTGGCAGCTCCCACCCCGGTCTCTCCGGCCCGAAGCTGGGGGGCGCAGGGGCTGAGCTGCGCTGCCTCTCGGGGATCCGCCGCGGGCCGCCTGGGGGCTGGAGGGCGAGACCCGGAGCCCGCCGGGCAGCTCCGAGAGCCGGGGCCGAGGCCAGAGCGCGGCAGCCTGCGTGGGCAGCGGAGACGAGGCCGGGCAAAGGAGACGCGGTGGCTTCAGAGGGGCTTCCAAGTAGAAAACTCCCCGGCCGCCCCCAAACGACGCCCCGGGAGCCAGGCGGGAGCACAGCACGCCCTTCTTGCCCCCTTTGCTCGCCGCGCCGCCTCCCAGGACCCTCCCAAAGCGTCCCTCTCCAAGGCCCCGGCATCAGCTACCCCTGAAGAAGCCGCCGCCGCTGCCGGATCCAGGATTCACACTAAATGGGCCGGCCGCAGGGGGCCGGGCGCCGGGCTAGGTGGCCGCCAAGAGCCTGGTGAGGGGCTACCCAGAGCCCGGTGGGCGAGGGGCGGCCAAGAGCCCCGGGAGCGTGCCCTCGGGGCGGAGAGCGTCGCGGCCCGCGCCGAGGCGATGCTCGGGTGGCTGCGAGCTGCCGGCGGCGAGAGGCCATAGACGGGCATGGGCCTTGCGTCCCACCACCCCTAGGGACCCTCGAGCCTCGCCCCTCTGCTCCGACTCGCCGGACCGACGCGATGGCCTCAGAAGTGGTGTGCGGGCTCATCTTCAGGCTGCTGCTGCCCATCTGCCTGGCAGTAGGTGAGTCTGGTCCGCTTTCCGAGGGCACTTGAGGAGGACGAGGGGGGCGCCTGGGTGGGGGACTTCTTAACAAAGTGAAGGGCTCTGGTGCTCTGGGGTTCGATTCGGGAGGCCAGCGGCGTCAGACGCGCGCTGTCCCTGGTGCACAGCCTGGCTCTCTCACTTCCCACTCTGGGGCGCGCGATCGGGGTATCTCTTAACAGGATGCTCGGGACGGGCATGTGCTGGAAACTGTTTATGTTGAATTTAGTTACACGTGGATTTTCTTTCGTGGAGTACTGACTTGTGTACTAAGGATGGCCATTGCTGTGGCTGGAAGGCGGATGCGTCCCCATCGTAGGTACAGTCAGGCTCCTACCTGAGCCCCTCGCCCCAGTGACCCTGCAAGCACAGCATGCTGTGCCTCCAGACGGCCCAGAGGCCATCTCTCCCAGACCCCAAATCCCAGCAACCGTGAAGGAAGAAGTGAAGGACTCCGGTCATTCAAAAAAGAAAAAGAGGGACGAGGTACAGGGAGACAGTGCCTTGACGTTTCTTACTTATTTTTTAAAACCTCCACAAAAGCCCCTACTACAAAAGTACTGGATGCTAAGGCTATAGACCCCCAACACCTAGTCCCGCCTCCCAGCGGCCGCCCTCTCCAGATTTTAAAGGGTTAGAAAGCAGGGTTGGAACTCCTTGGGACTGGCAAGGGCCCAGGGAGGACCGCAAGGGAGCCTCCTCGACGCCCAGACAAGCGTTGCACCGTTTCCCCAGGACTGGCCTGGCGTGCAAAGCAACTGGGTGCTGCGTTCTGGGAGTCGGACCGTTTCTGATCTTCTCCTCAAACAGGCAGTGCCTGTGACATTGAATTCCTCTCGTAAGAATGCCGGGCCCTGGTTCTTTGCTCTCCCTCTCACCAACAAGAGCTAGGAAGTAGAGCGCTTTTCACCAAGTAGTAACTGTATTTACAGAGGGCGTGGCCTTCGCAGAAAAGGCCACCTTTTTGCATCTTGACCGAGGTTGATGACTCTGCATCTTGACCGAGGTTGATCACACCTGTGTTAAATGTTTTCTTTGTGCAAGCAATCGAATGGGGGCTGTAGCGTGATTGGTGAGGGTCAGGACAGTTGCCGGGAGAGTTTTTGTAACACACTTCGTGAGTGAAGAGTCTGGGAGGCGTCTTTTCAACAAACCTCAGCGGAAAACCCAGAAAGGCGCTCCGAGTGGAGGGAAGGTGTGGCCAGGCGGGGTCCCGGGGCAGCAGGAGGGACCCACGGGTGGATGCTGGCCTCGTTCTCTACTTTGCAGTTTGAGTTTCCATTTTGCAGGGGTCTAGTCTCACTCGCATAGATGAAGAGCTAAGCTTCCACAGAGCGGATATGCACCTCTCTCCCCGCCAGCTTGAAAAGCGATTTGGGAAAGGGATTCTTCAGGTGCCTTACACACAGAGGGTGTCACTGCTCAGGGATCATCTCTGTATCCTAAGCGCTTGGCACTGTGCCTGGCACATTTACTATTTGTGAATTGGAAGCTAGTGACCGAGTTAACAAAGGGCTTTTAGCATGAAGCGTGATTTATGGTCCTCAGTGCAGACCGGGGAGGGGTCCTGGGGAGTGGCACTAAGGTTAAAGGCCGCTCTGCTCCCTCCCAGTCCCTCTATCCACCGTCCTCCTCGCCACTGTTCCTGGAGGATGGACACCCTCTTCCCCATCCCCCATCCCGCTCTCCAAGGGACAGCAGCTCACTGTGACTGTTGGAAGAGTTAGGCATGTGGTTCCCTGCAGCCAGCTCGGTCCACTCTGTGACTTGGCACCAGTGGCGGAATGAAGTGCCAGCAGCGATTGCCTGCGACCTTGCCCTGAGCATAGGCTCTTGCAGGTTGGGCTCCCTGGACTCAGCTCACCTGCCTCCAAGCCCCGCGGATGCTGGGGTTGGGGCCTGTCAGTCCTACTAAAGGTTGGTGGCCTATGCTAAAAACTCCTTCAGTAGGGCTGTAGTACTCTGCCCTCCCAAGGGGAGCTGGCCTGGTTCACAGCACTCCCAGCTTGGGTTGCTGGGCACAGGGGCTCGGGGCGGTGACTCGCAGCCAGGGTGGAGGTGGGGGGACTGGGGTCTGGATTCAGCCCTGCCTCTCACCACTGGGACCCCCACCGAGCTTCTTCTGTGGTGCCCGCACACTGTTCACCTCCTGCTGGCTGGCTTGTGCCCCAGGGCAGGCTGGGGGCTCCCGCTGCCTGAGTCCACTTTGATCCTGGACTTTCTGGGAGGAGCTCGGCTTCCAGGGGCGACAAGATAATAACCTTGGCCAACATGCAAACTGCGTCTTGCCTCGGGGACAGCTGAGTCTGCCCAGGAGATCCTGGGGCTGCCTTCTTTATCCAGCTCATTCTTCAGGACTCCCACACCTCTCTGGGTTCAGGGAGACTAACCTGGGTGTGCGAGTGTGTGCATGACTGTGTAACAGTTTGTGTGAATGTGAGTTTGAGTGCATAAGTGTGAGTGTGCACATGTGTTATGAGTATGTGTGAGTGTGAGTATGAGTGTGTAGGGGGTTAGAAGGTAGTGGTCCCCCTTGCTCAGCCTGGAACCTGTTGCTTTCCCCTGCCCTAGGAAAAGCCTCATCCAGGAGAAAGCAGAGGAGGTGGACTGGCCCCTGGCTGGAAGAGAGCCTGAGCTCCCTGGGAGACCTGACCCTAGTGACCTCCTCACGTGTTGGGTGCTTAGAAAAGATAACCTGCATTCTGGAAAATTATTGACATCTTCTAATCATGATACTTACTTACAGGGATGAAAGAGGGCTGAGCAGATATGCCACCTTATTTGAGCATTTGATTCTTTTCTGCAAGAAGTGGAGATTTCCAAGGTTATTGGAGGGTTCTGGTCTGCCTACTCCCAAGGTGCTGCTAAGTCAAATATTCAGGTTTCTCTCCTGCGCATAGTGAGTGCAAAGGTCTGCTTGCCATTAGAATCGATTTTACATTTTAGCCATCTATTTTTATATCTGGAAAAGGCAGCCTTCAAAGCTAAGCCTTTGTAGAAGCTTACATATTTTCCTTTAAGCTCATTTCTTTAATACTGATGTTGAAATTTTCCTGCACAGAGATTCCTAGTGTTTTTACTTAATGATAGATGTTAAAAATTAACTGCTATTGTGTTTAATATAATGGTTACAGATTTTTTTTCTTTTTCCGTATAAGATAAATTTTAAGAGAAGTGATAAGTGAACTCAGGCCTCTTCAATGCAGATGTTATGTGATTCGTGAGTGTTAAAAGCAAAACAAAACCATAATAGAATATGTTATTTACCATCCAAAATGAACATCCTGTGATGGATATGCATATAGTCATAGCCACCAAAAACTTTAAATATCTCCCAAATTATCTGTGACTAGTTGCTAAGTCATCTGATTTTTTTTCTTACACATAATACACAAAAAGGTAAAGACTTTCCATATTATGCAATCTCTAATAATTATAACTGATAATTATTGAACATTTTACACATATTTTACGTTTAGTTTCTTTCAACAGGATTCTACTATACCACCCGTCTTTAGGTATATGATTTGAGATTTTTTCGGTCAAGAATGCACTGGTGTATTTGTTTTTAACTGATGTTCCTGACTATTTTATTCCATCTTGCCCAGTGTTGCCTGGAGTTCCCTAATGTCTTGCCTGGAAGAAATGACTTACATATTTTCAGGGGGAAGAAAGGGGAAGCCTTGCTTGGGGGAACAGGGGATTAGAGATCATGGCTGCCCGTCCCCTAAAACAGGCAATCAGAGCTTAGGAAAGAGCAGAGCAGAAAAGGGGACTGTGTCCCACAAACAAGAATCAACCAATCAACTAGTGCTCTGAAAAACAATATTCCAATCCAGAAAGAATCTCTAAAACTCCCTTTAAGGATAGTTGGATTAAAATGTGAGTAAAAATTTGGGCTCATTTTTGAAATATATTAGATATGGCTATCTAATCATAATTTTCTCTTTATAGCATGATGTATTTTCCTGTGTAATATATATCATTTTGAAATCACACTTCCACACAGTCCAAGAATTACAAATGGAGCTAATGTCTATGTGATCAGCATTGGCCTCCCCTATTGCGGTGGCTGTAGCTCTCAGTGGTAGGTGGCTGCAGCTGCCAAAGGATTCATGGAAGGCATTTAAGAAAGTAACTTGCTTTTCTGTCACACTTTCTCAGCCTTATATAAGTAGATACTATTTATCAAGTTCAGAAATGAAAAAAGGAACAGTGGAAAGGATTGGAAATTTAGAGCTTATTTCTAAAATAAAATATTTCATCCACACAGACGGGCATGAGCATGTTGTCTCCTGAGCTGTGGGTGCTGCAGCTATGTGTCCGTCCTGTTGCTTTGTAAGTGTGTGTGTTTCTTTACGGGTGATGTGTGTTTGTTCGTAGTCAGAGATAAGCAGATGGCTTTGGACTTCACCTTTGAGGAAGGATGGTGTTGCCACTGGGCAGTTTAAGAGACTCTCATTGACCTCATGGCTCTGCCCTTCACTGTATGATTGTGGAGTTCCTTTTGTTTGTTTCTCTTTTCTTTCTGTAAAATGGTAAATAACATATTCTATTATGGTTTTGTTTCGCTTTTAACACTCAAGAATTACATGCATGGTTGTGAGATAGTGTGCACAGCACACCTTGTATAAAGCCTGACACACAGCAGGCGCTGCCTTACCTTTATGAAGATGAGCAGAGAGCAGAATGCTCAGGCGATGTCTCAGTCAAAATTAACAGACTAGGAGGTAAGAGCATGGGCCAGGAGAAGGCTGATCTGAGGATGTGGGATTCACGGGAAGGCAACTTAGTGCCTTCCTAGAGCCAAATTATGTGAGAGAGAGAGAGTGAGAGAGAGAGAGAGAGAGAGAGAGAGAGAGAGTGTGTGTGTGTGTGTGTGTGTGTGTGTGTGTGTGTGTGTTAGAGATTTTTAGTTCTCAGGATTTTTCTCACCAGTTTTACTCAATATTCCAAATCTGCAGTTGCATTTTTCTGATTAATAGGACTTAAAAACAATATTTAGAACAATTACATATTGTTCTCACTAGATCAATACTGTTAACGTTTGCTTTTGTTTTTCAGCACCATTTTTGTAGTCTTTATTTAATGTGATTTTATTTCTAACATGTCATTTTCCTTTTGGGTTCTTGTGCTACTAACAGTGAATTGTATGTGAAGTTATGTAGTAATGATGTGTATAATATGCTTTTTTGCATAAATATTCAGGAGAACTTAGAATAGCATAAGCCATCTGGATATTGAAGAACAATTGATGAAGAACAATATGATACCATGTGTATAATCTACAACATTACAGCTTATAAGATTTTTGATTTAAACCGTTGTCTTGAGGACATGGAATCAGTCAAAAAAAAATCCCATTGAACTGAGGCTAAAAACAAAAATATTGGAAAACTTTTTCTTTTTCTTTTTTCTTTTTTTTGAGACGGAGTCTTGCTCTGTCACCCAGGCTGGAGTGCAGTGGCGTGATCTTGGCTCACTGCAAGCTCCGCCTCCTGGGTTCATGCCATTCTCCTGTCTCAGCCACCCGAGTAGCTGGGGCTACAGGTGCGTGCCACCACACCCGGCTAATTTTTTTGTATTTTTAGTAGCGACGGGGTTTCACCATGTTAGCCAGGATGGTCTCGATCTCCTGACCTCGTGATCCCCCGACCTTGGCCTCCCAAAGTACTGGGATTACAGGTGTGAGCCACCGTGCCCGGTCCTTTTTTTTTTTTTTTTTGCGATAATCTCACTCTGATGCCTAGGCTGCAGTGCAGTGGCACGATCTCGGCCCACTGCAACCTCCACCTCTGGGGTTCAAGCGATTCTTCTGCCTCAGCCTCCGGAGTAGCTGGGATTACAGGCGTGCACCACCCCAGTCCGCTAATTTTTTGTATTTTTAGTAGAGATGGTGTTTCACCATGTTGGCCAGGCTGGTTTTGAACTCCTGACTTCAAGTGATCCTCTGCCTTGGCCTCCCAGAGTACTGGGATTACAGGCGTGAGCCACTGCGCCTGGCCTGGAAAACATTTTTTAAATGTTTGGCTGTCAGTCGAGGTTTGTCATATTCCTCAGAGCTTCCACTTGACCTTCCAGACCTGTCTAGGACGTGGCAAAATCAAAATGATGAGAAGTACATACTCAACATCGTGAAAAGCCCGTCAGAGACACAGTGTCTAATAATTTCATAATTTCTTAACTGTCTAGTGATTATCTAATAGGCATAGAAAATTTAGCTAAATTATTTTTAAAATTTAACAGCAACGTATAGCTTTGCATTTTTTCAATGTGTTGTTGGGTTTTTAAAAGAAAATATATGTAACAGTTACCAGCTTATAAAATGTTTTCATTGCACCTGCAGCATATACATATAAGTTTTATTTGCCTTGCTTTATCATATAGGATGGTGATGTTTTCTGATTATGACTTGCTATTTTTAAATTCCCCTTTTGTGCCGTACTGTTTGGGCACAATTCTGCATTAAACTAGGATATTGTGGATGGACATATTTAAACTCCTTTTGTATATGAACTTGCAAATTATAAATATATTTTATAAAAAAGGGATGGATTTGGTCTATCTATGAGGTTAGTTCTGCAGAAACTACTTAGGCTTTCTGTGGCCATTTCACCAGTCACCTGGAGGGGGAAGCTTCTGCTGAGATCTTCACTGCTCTCTTCAGGAGTGATTTCATTCTGCAACCCAAACTCAGGTTATTGTCGCCTCAGTATTGTCGCCAACTCTGAACTCTCCACCCCACTTCAGATTCAACTTGGTCAACACCAAGCATCCTGTCTCCCCGGGGCCTTCTCTGGTGTGCTCAGAAGAGTTCTAGGTCAAGTGAACAAGCCGTTCGTCTGCTCCTTAGCCTGCACATTTGTGACGAGACTGTGGGTGCCACTGCTGCCTTGGGTGCAAGTGCTGTCCACACCAAGCACCTTGTTCAAGGGCACGCTTCTAAGTTTTGCCCTTAAGTTTTCATCTCGGTCCACATACGTGTTGCGTGGCTCTACATTCTGTGCGCCCCGCAGCATGCAGAACCTCAAGCCTCCAACCTGGCCTCTTGGACTCATTCCATCTTTACCCTGTGTGGTGCTAGATGTGCCTTCCCCTGCCCTAAGCCCCCCAGAATCTTCTTCCGAGAAGCATAGTTGGGGCTTTTCTCAGTGGGCAATTACATTCCAGCCTTAACCTTGGTCAAACCAGTCAATCCACTGTTGCCATTCTTCCTTAAATACACCACTTGGTCATTAGCCCAACAGGCTTGTAGTCCTGACTGGCGGCAAATAGGCTCTTTTCTCCAGTTGATAGAAGGCCCCGTCAGCCAGTTCTAAGCAAAGACAATTCTGTTCTTCTTGAGTTCTGTTTTCCATGTAGGTTTCTCAGCATAATGATGCTTAGATAAGACAAACTTAGTCTGTCTCCCCTGATAGTCAAGATGTAGGTGATTGGAGCGGGTATGTTAACTCTGCTTATTAAAGTTTCCCAGGGCCGCAGCCATACTCTTCCATCCCACATGGGTTGCACTCATCTGCATGGGTCAAGACAGCCTGTTACCATGTCCACATCAAGCTGAAGGCTGGAGGTAGGAGATGCAGAAGGAACACTCCTTCCCCACCCTCTACGGGTACAGCCAGGAAGCTGCAAGAATCACTTCTGCTCACATCCAGTTAGCCTGAGTGTAGGAATCTTCTCCACCTACCGTACTGTAAAGGAAGCTGGGAAATGTCATTCTTATTTTGGTGGATAATGTGCTCAGCTAAAATGGGAAAAGTCGGTCTGTGGCCATGACAGAGAGTGGATATTAGCATGCAATAACAGTATCATCTGTGCCTCCTGTGGTTGAAGGTACCTTAGTGTGCCTTGCAGACACCACTGACATTTTTCTGAGGATCTACACTAACACCCATCTTTGTTTCTAGACCTTAGCTAGACTCAAGTCCCTAAGCATCTAAAGATGAGGCACAAAGTATGACCCATGAGATCTATACTCCAAAATAACATGATTTTCTCAATTTAGACATAAATTAGAGGAAAGTGTGTGGGAATGGGTATTAGGGTGTGGAATAATGATGCAAGGAACATGAAATTGGATCTGGTCAGTGTTGTACCTCCAGGGCTTAGAAAGGGCTCTGACAGTTTGGTTGGTGGCGGAAACAGGCACCAAAAGGTGGCCTACACTAAATGAAGTTGAAATGCCAGAGCTACCTTGGTATGCTGTAGTGGAAGGGATCCAGAGGCTTAGGGAGATTGGGATGTTACAGTGGATTTATCATAAAAGATCTGCTCATCCACCTTGGGAGGGTGCAGAGGACACACTTTCACCAGAAGTATGGGGAAAAAAATTTTTGAAGGGAGCCTCAGGTGTCCATGAAGAGCTCTGGGGCTGCTCTTCTCTGCAGGTCAGAGATTGCAGTGGAAGCTGCTGCCACTGACTGGGGGTCCTTAACTGCATTGGGGATGGTTGGATCCCAGGTGGCAGGGGCCATGTGATCACCAAAGACCAGGTGGGTGCATTGCCATCATGGAGAACAGCAGAGTCAAAGCAGCAATCTGAACAGCCTGACTTGAGAGTCCTACGGCATTGGGTAGGTGGTCATGGTGTCCCTAGAAGAGAACTCGATGGGCAGTCTACTGAATTCTGACTCGATCTGTATAAGCAGAAGAGTTCTAGATCAAGTGAACAGAAGTCTATCTTGACATACCAAAAGAAAGAGTCACGGTCCCTCAATCACTTCCCAGATTTGAGTCCCAGAACCCGTTAAAGGAAGGGGAGGCCGGTGACCCTACTACACTGCTGATTACATTTTTATTTTATTTCTCCCAACCCATTTCTTTGAGTAACAAGTGTCTTCATTTGAAGTGTAAATATCTGTGGAAAGATAAAATGGCTATTTATTACCCATATATTAGGTCAAATAGCTTATTTGCTCCCATCGTCTAGGTGGGATGGGATGGACATTTTAAATAAATGGGAGAGAGAGTATTTACATTGTGGGTACAGGTATGATCTAGATGCCCATATATTTATTAGGGCGTCATAATATCACTGGGCAATTAGGGGCTTATCAAGATGACTTCCAACACAGAAAGTAGCACATCTTTCTCAGGGCCTGCTCTACACACCAGAAACAATACAAAAATTCTTTCTCTTCCTCCTTCTTTTATTTGCATTATATGGTTTCTGATGTTCAAGGTGAAATGTACTATCTTGACTAAGAGCCCCAGGTCTAACGCCAGATTATTTGAGTACTGATCTTGGCTCTGTCATTCAGCTGTGTGACCTTGTTCAGATTGACCCCTGTTTTTGAGATATTTCATCTGGAACAAGGTAATAATAGAACATAGCTCAGAGGATTGTTGCAAACCTTAGATGTCAGTGCTTATAGAGTGCTTCGAGCAGTGCCCGACATACGGTAAATACTCAATAAATAGTTGCTTTTATGAATAGCTCCAGATACAGAAGTTAGGCACGATTATGAGTAAAACATTGGCTAGTGTGAGTTCCTTCTCATCGAGAGCAGCACAGTTTCAATGGGCAGATAACTTAGAGAACCAATCAGCTTACGAGAAGCTTTGGAACATGACCTGTTGAAAGTTGAGAATGGTCTTGTCTTTGCCGTCTTCTCCCCAATCAGATACATCAGACAGCCTCTGTGCTATGGTTCATGGTTACCTTTGAAACAACGTGACATCTTTTCTCCTTTAATTCTCCTTCCCAGGCAGAAGGATTTGTTCCTTCTGTGCTCACCCGCCACTTTGCATACTCATTACAGAATGTTGTATTAATATTCAGTTGTAGGAGCACTGTCTTGCCTTCTATGTGTCTGTAGGTTCAGGGACCTTGTATAGTCCTTGTTGATATCCCCAGCACGGAACTTACTCCTCAATATACAGATAGCAGCTATTTCAAAACATCTTTTGAGCTGGGTGTGGTGGCTCACGCCTGTAATCCGAGCACTTTGGGAGGCTGAGGAAGGTGGATCACCTGAGCTTAGGAATTCGAGACCATCCTGGGCAACATGGGGAAACCTCGTCTCTACTAAAATACAAAAATTAGCTGGGTGAGGTGGCACACGCCTGTAGTCCCAGCTACTCGGGAGGCTGAGGCATGAGAATTGCTTGAGTCCCAGAGGCAGAGGTTGCAGTGAGCTGAGATTGTGCCACCGTACTCCAGCTTGGGCTACAGAATGAGGCTTGCTCTCAAAAAACAAACAAACAAAACTACAACAACAACAAAAAAAACACTATATCTTTTGGATTGTAGGTTTTTCAAATTGTGAACATAACCTCTGATCATTACACTTCAGCTACCCAGCAAGGACTATAACACACAGGAACACTGAAGAAATATTTACCAATTGACTAAAACATTCACTGACTAATTTTTGTTTTGAACATCTCAGAAGTCTGAAAATAGAGTTAGGTCTAGTTTCCTATAGCGATTGGTTTTTAAGTCTTTGAATATAAAATTTATAACAGCCTAATATATACTCTGTGACTTTCATAAATGTGAATTGTATCAGGATGGCAATTAACACCTTTTACTTGCTTTGCAGGGAACAGAGAAGGAAAAACCCATTTGACAATGGTAAAACTTAAGTCACATCCTTGAAATGCATATTATTTTTAAAAATGTTTTTAGCTCTCCTGGAACCACACAAATCGATCTGTTTTCTCTTGCGGTCAAACCCTCTAGGGCAGCAGTTTGGCCACAGGTGCAGAAAAGGAAGAAGGATGAAGACCCTTAGCAAGCTGGTAATCTTGAACTGAAGCACCACGGAAGTGAATTAGAGAGATGGGCAGAGTTGGGCCGTCCCTGCTCCTGCCATCTCCCTCCTGCTGCTTTCCCTGGACTGTCCCTGCCGGGCAGCACTGCCTTTGGCATTGCTGCAGGTACACGGACCCCTGCTAGGGAACCTAGGCAGCATGCAGGTTGGAAAGGGCCCAGGTTTGAAGGTCTAACGAACAAATCTGGATCCTGTTCATAACGAGCTATGCGACTTTGCCAAGTTACAGAAACTCTCTGTTTTTCAATTACATCATCTCTAGAATGAGGTGTTCAAGGCTAAGAAATATTTTCACAATTCTCAGGGTAATATTTCTGCACATGCCTTTTTTAATATTAAAAGGTATGGCCATAAATCACTGCTTTTTAACCTACGGGCCGGAATTTTTATATCTAAATCGCTCTGGCCTCCTTAATAACCATCGTATGTACATACACTTAGGACTTGCCCTCAAAGAAAGGTTAGGAACTGCTAAGAACAATAATTTTTTTTTACCATGTTAGAGATGTGGTTCAGGATTTTACAAAACAGTTGATTATGAAGGAGAGACATTCTAGTTTAGGCTTTGAGCTTCTAATATTTCGATGATCCTCCCTCACCTGCTCCTAATACAGAATCATGGAGACTGTGCACACCAGTGATGGGAATAGCATGAACAAGATGTGTGAGCATGTTTAGATTCGAATTGGCTTTCTGTATCTGCAGAAATAAAGGAGCTTCATCACCCATAGCTTATTACTAGACATGCCTTTAAAGAAAACCAAGCTACATTATAGTTATTAATTGAAGCTAAACAATCGTATAAGAACACAGGATGATATAAACAAGATTTGAGTCAGAAAAAGATACTGAGTAAAATACTGAATGTAATCAGTTGCAGTATTACATTGACATTGTAGACTATGAGATCTCAGATAATTCTATTATCCATAAAAGGAAAGGGTAGGCTGCACAAACACCTCAGGTGTGTGTAGGTCAGAGACTCACACTGGGGCTCCCTACGCAGGTGTTGCTGTCATGGCTCCAGCATTAGCTGTGGGGGTGTGAGCTTCCTGTTCTTCAACCCCCTCTCCTTCCTCTCATCAAACTAAACACTGGTTTCCAAACTAAATATTTTTCAAACTAAATATTAGAGCTTGCTCATGCTTAGTTAATCCTGACTCGTGTTGGCCTTGGGGCCCAAAATCAGTCTAGCTGGTAAGCAAGGAAATGTTGTTAGCTGGAGCCAGGCTTGCATTGCAGGCCAGACAAGGCTGCTATAGCACACAGCCTCTGGCAATCCATCCTCAGTCACAAGAGAAGATGAAAGGTCAGATTACAAGGCAGTGAGAAGAGGGATCCTCATAAAATGGGCTTTGTTTCTTGTGAGCCAGTGTTTTCTAGAAGGCTCCAGCTCCTAGGATTTTTCACTAACAACCACAAACCTCTTAGCAATAACTTTCAAAGCATGATCAGTTTTGCTGCAAAGCATCATCGTGGTTGCCATTGCATCACCTTAGAGCCACACTGCATTTCTGACCCAGTGCCGGATGCCCCCGCCTCATTCACTGGACTCCACTTATCACTATTTTGAGCTGTTTTCAAACGTTAAAGTCACTGTCAAAGTGCAACAATTTCCCACCATGTAAGTTATTTTAAAAGATGTGACACAGTCCCTAAAGCATTTCTTAAATTGGGTATCAAAATTTTTTGAGCAAATTATCTTTAGAGTAAGGATGTATCCTTCCAAACTTATTACTTAGGAGAAAACAAATGTCAGATATTATCTTATCCTTATGACACCAGTTGGTTATCTATTCCAGTAGATCCATACTCAAGATTTGCAAATGGAATCTAGTTCTGGGATCTATGTTGATAATGCAGTGCTAATCTCCCAAGGAAGGAGAAGTATCCCAGTCAAACAAACTCTTTTTAAAATACCTTTGCAGGCCTAGGTGGGCGGATCACGAGGTCAGGAGATTGAGACCATCCTGGCCAACATGGTGAAACCCTGTTTCTACTAAAAATACAAAAATTAGCTGGGCGTGATGGCACGCACATGTAGTCCCAGCAACTCTGTAGACTGAGGCATGAGTATTGCTTGAACCCGGGAGGCGGAGGTTACGGTGAGCCAAGATCACGCCATTGCACTCCAGCCTGGGCAACAGAGCTAGACTCCATCTAAATCAATCAATCAATCAATCAATCTGCAACGTGAACCAAACTGTAATGTTTTATAGCTTTGAATATGCATATAATGCATTTTCTTTAAAAGAGCATATTTGAAGTGTGGATTTAATAGCCCACTGGTGATTTTGTCTTTCAGTTGCTTTTTAAAATCATACTCTGATTTTACTCAATTTTTTCTGCACCCCTGCAGTGAGATCTTGTACATTCCCCACCAGAATCGTACAGTCATCCAAGATGTTTATTCACCCAGCTTCTCCTACCTTAAAATAGCCCTGGCGTTTGTTTTCTCTGAAGTCAAAGGAACTCATGTCTGAGTTTTTGTTGGTCCATATCTCGTTATCGCTTTGGACATTACTGCTTTCTAGGTTTCTGTTTTGGCTCTTGCCCAAAGAGAGGTTGAAAATTGTTTGAAATCTTATTGTGAAAGTCTCTAAATATTCCCATCTGTGTATTCCTCATCCCAATTCTTGGCACTTCATCTCTTAATAGAAACATAAGAAAAAAAATTTTTTTTTTTTTTTGCTTACTTAATTTCTTCTTTCCCCTTAACAATTACACAACACCGTGGGTGGGGTGGGGGGTCAATATTAGAGGGTTCAGAGCTTATCCATGGTGTCTGTAGTTCAGTGCTGATCCTCCTTGGGCACTGATTTTTGATTCTCCATTCTTCACCAAATCATGCTTTGTTCTTTCTTCTCATGTAGCACTTTGAATTTTGTGATGTAATTCCTATTGGGAAACATTTTTATTTATTTTATTTTATTTATTCAGTAATTTATGACAGTGAGATACTGAGTTTCATGATTAGGTCTTTTTGAGAAATGCTGGGCTAAAACATGGCAAGACTGTTCAGAGCTTAGTGTCTACTGCAAATGGTGAATTTCTAAGAGTTTAGTACAACGTGCAGTGTTTTCCAAACTTATCTGACCACAGAACCCCTATTTCTTACCCTTGGCACTAATGTCCTGGGAGCACACATTGAAAAATTCTAGACTTTTGGACTACCAGATAGAACAATAAAAAGAGTGTATTTTGGGATGAGGGCCTTTTTAGAAGACCAGAAATCTCACTTTTCAGGTGTGAGCATGAAGCCAGCGCTGATGGGTGGTCACTGTCACAGCCGTGAGAGGGAAGGACAATTGGGACTGCCTTTTTCTTACGTGTGCTTGTGGACTTTGGTTTGTACTCTTTATTTTAGAAAAACAAAGTGGCCAAAAAGAGAGAAACAGTCTTAGAAACTAGATATTCCAGCAGCTGTAGAATGCCAGAAAATAACCAGGCTACACACATTTGCAGGTGTAGCAGCAGCATAGTGGAAAACCAACAAGGGAGTTAAAGTAAGTCACACAGCATCCTGCATCCTCGCCACCGCCTCATGACTGGACGGCCAGTGGCCTCCTGAGGGTCCTCCTGTTTCATATTTCTCTGTAATGTCCCTTCTCTATGTGCTGATCACATGGGTCTTTTCAACACTGAAGTCAGATATCATTCCTCTGCCTTAAACCCTCCAGCACTTTCTCGTTGCACTTAAAAAGCAAACCCTAAATCCTTAACTTGCCCTATAAAGCCCCTGGCTCTTGCACCCTCTAACCACACTGGAATTATTTTTGTTACTCAGTGTATTAGTCAAGGTTCTCTTAGAGGGACAGACTAATATGATATGTGTGTGTATATGTATATATATATAGAGAGAGAGGAGTTTATTAAGTGTATATATATATAGGAGTTTATTAAGTATATATATATATATACACACATATATATAGAGAGAGGAGTTTATTAAGTATTAACTTACGCGATCACAAGTTCCCACAATAGACTGTCCGCAAGCTGAGGAGCAGGGAGAGCCAGTCCAACTCCCAAAACTGAAGAACTTGGAGTCTGATATTTGAGGGCAGGAAGGATCCAGCACAGGACAAAGATATAGACTGGGAAGTTAGGCCCATCTCTCCTTTTCACGTTTTTCTGCCTGCTTTATATTCACTGGCAGCTGATTAGATTGTGCCCACCAGATTAAGGGTGGATCTGCCTTCCCTAGCCCACTGACTCAAATGTTAATTGTTAATCTCTTTTGGCAACACCCACACAGACACACCCAGGATCAATTCTTTGTATCCTTCAATCCAATCAAGTTGACACTCTATATTAACCATCACAAGTCTACCCCTTGTCAACTTGAACCCATACACATTTCCTGAGATCTTCAAGTAAAGACAATAATAAGGTCATAATTTAACGCCTACCATAACACAACTATCCCTTGTACAACCGGAAACGTGCCAATCCCCAACCCAAATACTATTACATAAAGTTAACAATACTTAAATGCTGATATGAAGTCAGTAAATCTTATGTCACATGATAAAGGAGAAAGGAAATAAAATGATTTTCTGAGTACAAGTGTATACATGCACAAACATGTTTTTAGCAAAAAAAGGAGGAAATAACGCATAACAGTTACAGTCCTTATTTCTGCAGCTGGTCACGTGGTCATGGATGGTATTGATGACTACCTTCTTCTACTACCCATTCTGTATCCCCTTTGCCTTCAGCAAGCATCTCAGGAGATCATGGTTTTTTTCCTGGTGGAGTGACCCAAACCTTCATTCCTGAAGGGTTTGGGTCATTTGTAGTGCTGCCTGGTTTGGGCTGTTGTAGTTTCCCATTGACCTTAATCACAGAGCATGGTAATACTAAGAGACGCCCTAATGGATCTCCTGTATTCCATGCATGCTGGAGATGACCCAGTGATTCTGGGTCAGTCACCGCAGCCAACACTGTAACTCCCTTCTTAGCCTGTTGACTTAAAGGTAGGAGGAGCCCAAAGTGTCCAGGTGGCAATCTTAACTCCCAGTTTAATGGAATCATTGTGTCTACTGGTGGCAGTGCTCCTTCTTCTGGAACTAAGACCTCTAGGCCAGCAGAACGTAATGTCACGGGAACAGGAAGCAAAAATTTTGCTAGTGGATCACTAGGGATGATTGTGAGTGGTGCCACTTCTACTTCTACCTTCTGATTCCCGGACATATGAATCCTGGCTATGAGAGAAACAGTACCATATATTGGATGTTGATTCAGAGCATACACGGCCTTCTGGAGAACTTTGCCCCAGCCCTGCAAAGTACTGTTACCTAGCTGGCATTGTAATTGTGACTTCAAAAGGCCATTCCACCGTTCTATCAATCCACCTGCTTCAGAATGATGGGGAATATAGTAAGAGCACATTGGATTCCATGAGCATGAGCCTGCTGCCACACTTCTTTCACCATAAAGTGAGTGCCTTGGTCAGAGGCAATGCGGTGTGGAATACCATGTTGGTGGATAAGGCATTCTGTGAGTCCATGGATGGTAGTCTTGGCAGAAGCATTGCATGCAGGACAGGCAAACCTATATACAGAGTAAGTGTCTATTCCAGTGAGAACAAATCTCTCCTCTTTCCATGTTGGAAGAGGTCCAATATAATCAACCAGCCACCAGGTAGCTGGCTGATCACCCTGAGGAAAGGTGACATATCGAGGGCTCAGTATTGGTCTCTGCTGTTGGCAAATTGGGTACTCAGCAGCGGCTGCAGCCAGGTCAGCCTTGGTCAATGGAAGTCCTTGTTACTGAGCCCATGTATAACCTCCAACCCTGCCACCATGGCCCCTTTGTTCATGGGCCCATTGGGTGGCTGGGGAAAGAGGCTGAGTGGTGTCCACACAACAGGTCATCCTATCCGCTTCATTATTAAACTCCTCCTCCACTGAGGTCACCCATTGGTGAGCACTCACATGGGATACAAATATCTTCACAGTTTTTGACCACTCAGGTCCATCCACAAACCTCTTCCCCAAGTTTCTTTGTCACCAATTTTCCCATCGTGCTTTTTCCAAGTCCCTGACCATCCAGCCAAAACATTGGCTACATCCCATTAATCAGTATATAATCACATATCTGGCCATTTCTTCTTCCATGCAACGTGCACAGCCAGGTGCATGGCTCGAAGTTCTGCCCACTGGGAAGATTTCCCTTCACCGCTGTCCTTCAAGGATTTCCTAGAAAGGGGCTGTAGTGCTGCAGCTGTCCATGTTCACATGGTGCCTACATATCGTGCAGAACTATCTGTGAACCAGGCCCTAGTCTTCTCTGCCTCTGTCACCTGATCATAGGGAACTCCCCATGAGGCCATCGGTGCAGGCTGTGGGAGAGAAGACAGGGTAGCAGGGGTGGAGATGATAGGCATTCGAGCCACTTCCTCATGTAACTTACTTGTGCCCTCAGGACCTGCTCGAGCCCGATCATGTATATATCACTTCCATTTGATGATGGAATGCTGCTGTGCATGACACGCTTTATGGCTAGATGGGTCAGAAAGCACCCAGTTCATGATAGGCAGTTAAGGTCGCATGGTGACTTGATGACCGATAGTCAAACATTCAGTTTCCACCAAAGTCCAGTGTCAGCCAAGAGCTGTCTCTCAAAAGGAGAGTAGTTATCTGCAGAAGGTGGCAGGGCCTTGCTCCAAAATCCTAGAGGCCTTTGCTGTGATTCACCTATAGAGCCTGCCAAAGGCTCCAAACAGCATCCCTATCTGCCACTGACACCTCAAACACCATTGGATCTGCTGGGTCATATGGTCCATGTGGCAGAGCAGCTTGTACAGCAGCCTGGACCTGTTGCAGAGCCTTCCCCTGTTCTGTACCCCACTCAGAATGGCAGCCTTTTGGGTCACTTGATAAATGGGCTGAAGTAACACACTCAAATGAGGAATGTGTTGCCTCCAAAATCCAAACAGGCCATGTGCCTCTTTCTTGGTTGTAGTAGGAGCCAAATGCAGCAACTTATCCTTTACCTTAGAAGGAATATCTAGACAGGCCCCACACCACTGGACCCCTAGAAATTGTACTGAGGTAAAATTTAGTTTTACCTGAAGTTTAGTAGGATTTACTTCCCTCTGCTGCCACACAAATGTCTCTCCAATAAGTCCAGTGTGTTTGCTACTTCTTGCTTACTGGATCCAGTTAGCATAATGTCATCAATGTAATGGACCAGTTTGATATCTTGTGGAAGTGAAAAGCTATCAAGGTCTCTCCGAATAAGATTATGACACAAAGCCGGAGACTTGATATACCTCTGAGGTAGGACAGTAAAGGTATATTGCTGGCCTTGCCAGCTGAAAGCAAATTGCTTCTGGTGGGCCATATGGACAGGAATGGAGACAAAGGCATTTGCCAAGTCAATGGCTGCATACCAGTTACCAGGAGATGTGTTAATTTGCTCAAGCAATGAAACCACATCTGGTACAGCAGCTGCAGTTGGAGTTACCACTTGGTTAAGCTTGCAATAATCCACTGTCATTCTCCAAGATCCATGTGTCTTCTGCACAGGCCGAATGGGAGAGTTGAACTGGAATGTGGTGGGAATCACCACCTCTGCATCTTCCAAGTCCTTGATGGTGGCACTAATCACTGCAGTCCCTCCAGGGATTTGATATTGTTTTTGACTTACTATTTTTCTAGGTAGTGGCAGCTGTAATGGCTTCTATTTGACCTTTCCCACCATAGTAGCCCTCACCCTACTAGTCAGGGAGCCAATGTGGGGGTTCTGCCAGCTGCTGAGTATGTCTATGTCAATTATGCATTCTGGCATTGGGGAAATGACCACAGGATGAGGCTGGGGACCCACTGGATCCACTGTAAGTCAGCCCTGAGCTAAAACTCCATTAATTACCTGACCTCCATAAGCCCCTACTTTAACTGAAGTACCACGATGACATTTTGGGTCCCCTGGATCCAACGTCAGCTCAGAGCCAGAGCCAGTAGTCCCTGAAATGTCTGATCATTTCCCTTTCCTCAATGCACAGTTACCCTGGTAAAAGTCTGGAGGTCTCCTTGGGGAAGAATGGGAGAAAGATTCACTGCATATATTGTCCGTAATGTAGTGGGGTTCTTCCTCAAGGGGACTCAGCCTCCCCTTCATTCAAGGGGTTCTGGGTGCATAAACTGGCTCAAGTCTGGAAATTGATTGAGGGGCTGTGATTCTGTTTTTATAATTCAAATTAGTCTTTTGTCCATTCGACCTAGAAGTTTTCTGTTTGTATAATTTAAGTAAGAATGCAGTAGGCTTCCTATCAATTTCACTTCTAGGAACACCATGATTAATTAGCCAATGCCAGAGCTCTACACGAATGAGACTATTCTGATTGCCGCTTTGCCTCTGCTGTCCATTATGGTAGCTACGCCTACCTTGCCTTTGACAGTTGAGTGCTGCCACTTGGTCCCTGCCACCTCGGGATCCAATTATTCTCATTGTATTTAAGTTTTGTAGTTGAGTGACTGTGGTTCCAAAGATGCAGGTGCTGCCCTCACAAATCTGTTTCACAAGGCATTGGTCAAGGGTATATCTTCTGGACCCTCTCAGCTGGGATGCGTAGGTCTAAAGTGACTAATCCACTCCACCATCCCAATCTCCCTAAGCCTTTGGATCCCTTCCTCTACATTAAACTGAGGGAGATCAGGCATTTCCAGCTCGCTCATAGTGGGCCATCTTTTAATCCACATTTTAACCAACCAAGCAAATAAACTATTAGAACCTTTTTTAACTCCCTGATCTGCAACATTAAACACTGAGTCCTTACTTAGTGGACCCAAATCAATAAATTCAGGCTGATCCAACTCTTTGTTCCTTCCACTATTATCCCATACCCTTAATATCCATTCCCAGGCCTGTTCTCCAGATTGTTGTTTATATAAATTAGAGAACTCAAACAGTTCTTTTTGAGTGTAGTGCACCTCCTCATGGGTCACACTTTCAACCTCATCTTTAGGGACCTGCCAGGACTTTAGTCTATTTATAGGTCTAGAAGCAAACAGAGGTGTTGGGGGAGGCTTCTGAGGAGAATCAACATTATCTTGCCTAGAAACTGCTTCAGGGGAGGCCATCACTGTTGCCTCAGGCAGCGCAGGGTTTATGTCCTCAGACAAAGGTGGAAAGGCTGATGGCAGCGTGGTTTGGGAAGGGATGTTGCCGCTACTGGGGATGGGGAAGCTGTTCCTTCTGGCAAAAAAGGTTCATCAGAGTTTACAAACTCAGTGTCCTCAGCTTCATCAGGGTCCTCCCACACATCCCCATTCCAAGTTGCAGGGTCCCATTCTTTTTCAATCAATGCCCTCACTTTAACAGTAGACACCTGGCGGGGCTGTGCATGTATCTTTCGTTGCAGGTCAGCCACTCTCATGATAAGAGCTTGTGTCTGTTTTTCCACAATTTCAGCTCTTTCTCTAAGGAGATAAGACTCTCACTCAAGGCAATCTTAGCAGATTTGAGGCTCAGTATGTGCTTCTGAAGCCTGGAGACAGAATCCCTGAGTTCATCATTTTCTTTCATCACTTTGTCCACTGAACTTAGGAGCAACCAACCAGCTTTATTACGTTCCTTGGTTCTCCACATATGGTTAAAGGTATTAGGTATAGAGTCACTAAACTCCTTGCCTGTCATGAGTGGTGAATCAGGAGTGTCAAATGCATTTATTTTGTGTAACTCTCTAAACAGTTCATGCCCAGGACTACCAGTGTTCTGCATACTGTTAGCAGTAGAGTCCTTAGCATTTTCAGGTCTAATCATACTAAGCAGCCAACTCCAGAAACCCCAAAACCAACGAAAGAACTCCATCCTTAATATTCTGTTCCTCTAGAACCACTCCTGATACCAAAATCTGTATTAGGGTTCTCTTAGAGGAAGAGAACTAATAGGATACACACACACACACACACACACATGCACACACACACACACGTATATGCATATATATCATATATACCTATATATGTCATATATATACACATACATATATATGTGTGTATATATATACATGACATATATATGTATATATATATAAAGGGGAGTTTATTAAGTATTAACTTACATGATCACAAGGTCCCACAATAGGCTTTCTGCAAGCTGAGGAGCAAGGAGAGCCAGTCTGAGTCTCGAAACTGAAGAACTTGGAGCCTGATGTTCGAGGGCAGGAAGCATTCAGCACAGGAGAAAGATGTAGACTAGGAGACTAGGCCTGTCCCTCCTTGTCACGTTTTCCTACCTTCTTTATATTCGCTGATTAGATTGTGCCCACCAGATTAAGGGTGGGTCTGCCTTCCCCAGCCCACTGTCTCAAATGGTAATCTCTTTTGGCAACACCCTCCCAGACACACCCAGGATCAATACATCGTATCCTTCAATCCAATCAAGTTCACACTCAGTATTAACCATCACATTCAGATGCAACTATTTTTGCTTTAAGTTCTTTGCAGTGGCTGTGTGCTCTGATGAGCGTTTCCTCCTATATCTCAGCCTAAATGTCACCTCCTCAGGGACCTCTTTCCGCACCCCTCAAACACCTGATCCTGGTCACTCACCGTCACAACACACTTCTGTCATTATCTCCACAGGACTTACTCTGTCTCAATTCTTTCATGTTAGTGAGTTTGGTTAGTAATATCTGCCTCCTGCCTCCTTCTCTCTCCTCCAACTAAACCGTTTGTTCCAGGAAAACAAGCTCCCACTCTCTGTCTTATTCCCTGCTGTACCCACAGTGTCTTGGGTAGGGCCTGGCCTGTAGTAAGCACACAACAGTTCAGTGCATTGCCTTAAATGTTCACACAACAGCAATGGAAATGACACCAGTGTGTTCATTCATTCCTCCATTCATTTCAGTCTCTGTTTCCTCATCTGTAAAATGCAGGCAATAAAAGTAACTACCTCATAGGGTCACTGGGGCTTTAAAAAAAAAATAGTAATGTACTTAAGGTACTGTGTAACAGTACCTGGCATATAGTAAGCATCTAATAAATGTAAATTATTATTGTGATGTTGATCTTTCATTGATTCATTCAATAAACATTTACTGGCCTATCAGGATGGCTCGATTCTGGGAATACAAAAAAAAAAAAATATGTAAGGCATGGCTCCTGCTCTTGAGATCCTCTTTAAACCATAGATAGTTCAGCTTCTCTGTAGTTCTCAGAGTAAAAAAATTGCTGATGGTATTCATCAGATCACGTGGGCCTTGGAGTATTTTGAATGATGGCGGGAGATGACCAAGAAACTGGCACTAAAGGTGGGAAGAGGACTGTGTGAGGAGTGCCCTTTACCAGGCCTAGGGGACAGTAAGATGGAACAGTCATCACTGTGGCCATGGGCGCTCAGGCTGGCGCAGTGCAATGAGGTGAGTCCTTGCATTTGAACAGAAAGGAGAGAGGGGAGTGATGCTGGGCAAATAACAGATCATTCCTCACCACCAAAACCGATTTCTGGAAAATAATAAACAAAACTGTGATAGTAAAAACTTCATGTTGAACCTACTGGGAATATTGACTTTAAAAAAGTGAGGTGGAGACTTTAAACCAAAGCAACCAGTCTCTATGCGGGGGAGCATATGGCTCAGCTACCTGTGCTGCAGGCCTCTGGTGGGCATGGACAGAACTGCCCGCTGTTCTACTTGTAATGCAGGTCTAAGGGTAAGTACAGACTGAAAGTTAACGTATTTTGGAAAATAAATGGAGTCATTATGCATGCTTTGACAACACTCTGGATAAAACCACAGTCACGTGCTACTTGTCTGTCCATCTTATGGTAGGCACCATTCTTCCTCTACCGTTGGGCACTAGAGCTGCCCTGGCAGCCCTCAAGTTAGCAGGTGTGAATGACTGTGTATTTCTCTTGCCCTATCTTATCTCAGACTCACTCAGCCACTTCATACAATCAAATTGATGAAAGCCAATGCTGGCAGGGACCTCTAAACACTTTGGAAAAATTGGCACTGCTCAGAGAGAGGATCCGGAGTTGCTGTCAGTGGGGGCTGGAATGTTGTCCTGCCCTGAACTAGACTCTCTTTTCCTGGCATAGACCTACGCAATCCTGGCTTTGAAGTTTCTTTTCCTCTTTCATTATGGTTACAACAGGACTTCATAAAACCAGGATGCTCTTCTCTGCAGGGTAATCTTTATTTGGAATGGAGTGTGTCTTGGTTTCCGCAGATGTATTGAGGAAACAATCCAACAACGTAATGAAGTGTGCTGGACTCTTAGCACTAAACACGTGTTTTGTCAGCTAAACAGAGGGGTCTAGTTGTTTATGTGATAGGAATGACTTGTTTCCTTTCTCAAGTATCTTCAGATAATGGCAAAAGTTGGATTTTAAAATTGCTGAAATGCCACATTCAACATTGTAAGTGTTGTAACAATGCTGATGACTTAACAGCACTGTCTTTTGTCGGACACATCGTAGTTTTTAAAACATATTCGCATACTTTTTGAATTATCAGCTCAAGAGGGCTTATAATGGTTTTCTTGCTTATTGCAGTATCCCCATCCTGCCTGGCAGGATAGACGGTGTGTGTATTTTGTATGTGTGCATGTGTGTGTGTGTGTGTTCTTTCTCCCATTTAATATTTGCAAATGCTCTGTGAAATGGGTATGACTCTAGATTTTACATGTGAAGAAATGAAAGGAGGAAAGGTTTTACATGAGAAAATAGAAACTCAGAAAAATTATCTAACTTTTATTTTGTGGTTAAATATCAAGAAGGTGGTAGATCTACACCTGGACTTAATTTGAGTCTAGTATACATTCAGGTACAAAAAAGCTTTTCTCAACAAGTACTGACCCTCATAAGTGGTCCATAATCTGGCTCTTTCAATCTGTTTTCTCCATTTCTGCCAGAATGATCTAAGGTGAAAATCTGACCATGTACGATCCAGCGCTTAAAATGGAGCACTGGCATTTAAAGTGTATTGTTTATTCTGAGGGGCAGGTAAAGGGGCCAGAGTTCCCTGCTGGGTTTTTCTTGACTCTACCTACAGGAAGATGATCTCATCATCTCTCTGAGGATCTCATCCTGGGGCTTGAACCCTGCCCAGAGTTAGTCTTCTGCTGGGTACTGAGACACATGCCTGCCAGTCTAGAGGGGCAGGTGGTGGTGGGTGAGTGGTGCTCCCCAAGTCTCCATCAAGGAACTATCTGGTTTGGGAAACCCTTAGCTTTAACTGCAAAGGTTTAAGGTGCTGACCATTCGGCACGTATCTTCTAGAGGAGATTTGTGCATGAATGCATATCCTGCAGGTATTTTCAACTGGCATTTTGGGGTTCTTTTTACTATTGCACAGTGATGTTGTATTTCTATGGCTTGACACAATAAATGATTTCTTAGGTAACACAACAAATGCTGGGAAGAACTAGGAAGAATTCATTGTCTTCATTCCTTTTGGGTCTTTATACAGTAGCCATTGTGATCCTAGAGGAATGGAAAGTAGCCAAACGATCTGATTACAAGTGGCTGAGTCTCCCATGCAAATATTGAGCAACTCACATTTTCAACTGCAGGTTAGCCTACATTATCTCTTACTGGATTTTTGCTCATTCATTCATTCAACACATATGTGTCAAATATCTATTGTCTGCCAGGCACAATATTATATATACTTACCTAAACTCTGGTTAGTTTTTTGTATTTATTGATTTATTTTAATTGACAAGTAAAAATGGTATGTGTTTTTGGTGTGCAACATGATGTTCTTAGTGTAAGTATACATCGTTGAAGGGCTAAATCAAGCTATTTAACATTATCTCACATACTTTTCCTTTGTGGTGAGAACACTTAAAATCTACTCTTTAAAATCTACTCTTTCAGCAATCTTAGTTTATCTTTATAATAAAGACTGCAGCTCTCTGCAATGTATAGAGATTAACTTAAATCAGTTTACTTTTTTTTTTTTTGAGACGGAGTCTCCCTCTCTCGCCCAGGTTGCAGTGCAATGGTGCGATCTCAGCTCACTGCAAGCTCCGCCTCCCGGGTTCACGCCATCCTCCTGCCTCAGCCTCCCAAGTAGCTGGGACTACAGGTGCCCACCACCACGCCCGGCTAATTGTTTTTGTATTTTTAGTAGAGATGGGGTTTCATCGTGTTAGCCAGGATGGTCTCAATCTCCTGACCTCATGATCCGCCCGCCTCGGCCTCCCAAAGTGCTGGGATTACAGGCATGAGCCACCGTGCCCGTCCCAGTTTACATTCTTCAAAAGGAAAGGATTCATCCCTAAATATACTGTGGTCACATTTCACATGAATATAGAGTGATCTCTACTAATCAACTTAATTTAGTAATGTTTTACTTGTCTAGAAATTTAACAGCATATGGCAGATTTTTCTTTGCTGGAATTAGCTTGCCTTCATTTCATTGGAAAGCATTAGTAATTGTAGCATCTACTTTACCTGCCCTATTTAAATTAGCACTTTAGAGGAAGCAAAATTAAAATCCAATTAAAATCAGATGCAAAAGCTAAGTGTAATTGTGTATATCTAGAAAGACTAATATTCCATTTAGTGCAAATATGTTTGAAACCATATGCATAACCCATAGTAAGCTTTTGTGATCTGTTGGGACATGCTTTTCTCTACTCTGAGTTTCTTAGGAGTCAGAATGATTTTAGAGCTGTTATAGTAAGCAGCATTTTCTTAGACTAGTTTAATAGATTCAAATATGTTCATTCCGACAGATTAAAAAAGTACAATGCTTACTTTTGGGAAAAAGCCGCACATTATATGTATGCATTGATATATAACATATATATCAATGCTATCATATAACTTATATATAACATATACATAGATATATATGTTATATAAATAAAGATATATTATACATATAACCTTAATTCTCAGGGAAGTAAATGATAAAGACTTGTCGTCTTGTTTGCTTTGAAACTCTGATGTCTGCGGATTTTATAAAATTAAACTGTCAGCCTGTTAGAATGATCATCCTGGCTGCATCTGGATGAAGACAATTTTATCCAAGTGTCTTATAGATAAATCTTCCCATATTCAAGGACTAGAACTCTGAGACTATCTCTCCTCAATAATGTTACTAATGAGTTTCACCTCGTTTTTTAATTAATAGAAATACATTCTTGTGAATAATGATTTTGAAAAATTCATTTCAGAACTTCGGTTTTTTTCTATGCATTATTGCTACTAGTTTTCATATTGGCAGATGAAAAGAGAATGACCATATCAGATGGAAGATATTGTGTGAATGGTTGTTCTCAGGTCAGAATTTAGAGGAAGGAAAATTAACATTTTAATTTTTCAGGTAAAATTTGTGAAATAAAATTCTTAGTGATGATATTCATTGTCATTTGCAACTGCTGAGGAGCTTACAAAACAGTTCCTGGCTGATTGTTTAAAATGAGACTGTTAAAAAGTAAATCTTGATAATGTCTATCAATGGTCCTGGGAAAGTTAAAAAGTTCTAAATAAGATTGAAAGAAGTCTTCTTGCTGGGTGCGGTGGCTCACGCCTGTAATCCCAGCACTTTGGGAGGCCGAGGCGGGTGGATCATGAGGTGAGGAGATCAAGACCATCCTGGCTAACATGGTGAAACCCCGTCTCTACTAAAAATACAAAAAAAATTAGCTGGGCATGGTGGCAGGCGCCTGTAGTCCCAGCTGCCGGGGAGGCTGAGGCAGGAGAATGGCATGAACCTGGGAGGCGGAGCTTGCAGTGAGCCGAGATAGCGCCACTGCACTCCAGCCTGGGTGACAGAGCAAGACTCCATCTCAAAAAAAAAGAAAAAGAAAAGAAAGAAGGCTTCTCATTTTGGTACATGATTTTTATAATGAAGCTTATAAGTAGAATTCACATGAGAATTGAACTTGTTAATTGAGCAGAGAACAAGGAGAACTTATCTACACATCAAAGAGAGGTTGAATGCACCTATATTTGGTCATGAAAATATGTCCTCTCATTGCTGGATTTAATAGTGTAATAGAGATCATTTTCACTGCTTAACCACATTTGCTATCAGAGAAGACTTTGACCTTTCAGACTGAAATCTTTTGGAATTCAAATGAAAGCCTTGCCAAGAGATATTTGAGAAGGCTGGGGAGCACCGGACTTACTGGGCAAGCCGAATTCCTCAGATATGTGAGAATGAACTCATGCTCCATCAGCTTTAAAATTGTTTAAAAACAGGGTCTTGCTCTGTTGCCCAGGCTGGAGTGCAGAGGTGCAATCATAACTCACTGCTGCCTTGAACTCCTGGAATCAAGGGATCATTCCACCTCAGCCTCCCCAGTAGCTAAGACTACAGTTGGGCACCACCACATCCAGCTAATTTTTAAATTATTTGTAATTTTTTTGTAGAGACAGGGTTCTACTATGTTGCCCAGGCTGGTCTGGAACTCTTGGCTTCAAGTGATTCTCCTGCCTTGACCTACCAAAGTACTGGGATTACAGGCATGAGCTACTGTGCCCAGCCAATTCTTATTTTGTTTTGTTTCAGACAGAGTCTTGCTGTGTTGCCCAGGATGGAACGCAGTGGCCCGATCTTGGCTCACTGCAACCTCCACCTCCTGGATTCAAGCAGTTCTCATGCCTAGCCTCCCGAGTAGGTGGAACTACAGGCGTGCATCACCACACCCAGCTAATTTTTGTATTTTTAGTAGAGACAGGGTTTCACCATGTTGGCCAGGCTGGTCTTGAACTCCTGACCTCAAGTGATCCACTTGCCTCAGCCTCCCAAAGTGCTGGGATTTTAGGCGTGAGCCACCACACCCAGTCAATGTGACCAGCCAATTTTATATTTTGTAATAAAACATTTTGCTTAAATTAAAATGTGATTTAATTTACATATATTTGTGACTTAAAAAAAATTGCAAGTAAATTTAGGACCAGGAAAGATATATTCTTTCTCTGACCGCAGGTCCCAGATCCATAGATGCAACAAAAATGGTAACACAGCCTTGCATAGTTAGGTATTCAAGTCATGTTTACATGAATATCCTCAAAGCCTTGTAGCCAAGATTGTAAAGATATGTCCTTAGATTTACAGTTGATTTAATATTTAGAATTTTCATAAATTGATGGTACTTCTTTAAAGCTTCCTTTTTAAATTTTCTTCTTTTTAAGGTTTTGGGATCATATCAGAGGCTGTTCAGTAGTCCTTTAACTCCATGGTGTGTGGAATCATTTGTTTGTTTTCCTGCTTCGAAACCCTCTCTTTCCTGTCTTCCTGCCTTTGCCCCTACCAAGGCACTTTGTAAAATAGCAGGTGCTCAAGAAAACCTCTGTCATTGTTTTCTTTTTGCCAGTTTCTGCATTTGTCCTGTTTAAATGCTGAAGTGACTGACTTCCCTCAGGATGCAAAAAAATGCACCAAAGAAAATTTAGCTAACAATGCAAATCAACAAACCATATCTTTTTGAGAAAAAAAAACATATTTTGTGGTAAATATTTTTCATGCAAAAGATGCCTCCGAACTTGCCCTTGAGTCATGGCAATATAATTTTATTGGTGCTTTGTAACAGATGAGAAGTTTAAAAGAAGACTGGGTGATTTATTAACCAAGTATTACATAACAAATTCTGGACTGATGTTATCTGTGGCTGGTCGTCATTTTAGGGACAGATAGGTCTGGAATGCTGGTTGGTAATATGATTGCAACACGACCACATTGGTGGAGGACTTAGTGCCCTGTGCAATTCCGACTGATTCTGATGGATGGAGACTGATTATCCTGATTATCTTATGACTATTCCAAATTATAACATGGAGGTACATTGATCTCTAAAGCTTACATTTGGGTGCAAAAACAATTGCAATTTATGAAGTATCAACTAGGTAGTAATTTCAGGTTGTGGCTGATTTTTCATTGTTCTCATATTCTTACTATTGTTTATTTACTGTTCGAAACTCTGAGACTAATAGTTTAATGCATTTTAAGCCACAGAAAGGAAAGCTATTTTGCAACAGTCGCCTCCCACATCTATTCCTCTAGTGTGATCTGGCACTGGCTATGACAAGAGGCAGTGTTTAGATGGAACAAAGGGCTACACTCAGCTTCATGGAGGTGGTTCAAGTGCTGTATTTATACTCTGGAACCAAGTTTTGTTGCCTCGTCCCTACTCTAAACCCCTGCTACCTTCGTAATATTTCATTGTGTTAATATAGCTCATAGAGCTAAATTTTTGCTTTTAGCAGAGAAAGCCACAAACACAGTTCTTTTAAAGTATAATTAGGCAAGGGCAGTTATCAATTGATGATGTTTTAATTAAGCCATAACTTGGTTTTATTTTTAATCAAATGCAAGTATTTGGCCGGGCGCGGTGGCTCACGCCTATTATCCCAGCACTTTGGGAGGCCGAGATGGGTGGATCACGAGGTCAAGAGATCAAGACCATCCTGGCCAACATGGTGAAACCCTGTCTCTACCAAAAATACAAAAATTAGCTGGGCATGGGCCTGTAGTCCCAGCTACTTAAGAGGCTGTGGCAGGAGAATCACTTGAACCCAGGAGGCGGAGGTTGCAGTGAGCCAAGATTGGGCCACTGCACTCCAGCCTGGGTGACAGAGCAAGACTCTGTCTCAAAAAAAAAAAAAAAAAAGCAAATATTTGTTCCGTGGCTTTTCCTCCATTCACCCAAATAACTATTCTTATTATCTTTTTAGTATTACTACAAATTAGTGAAGATGTAGATTCAACTCTCTTATTTTCCTCCTCCCAACCAATTCATATTCTTTTAGAGGTTCTACTAGGGAAACTGCAAGAATAATGTAACTACACGACAGGATATAAGTGTCCCTAAAGATAGATTTTCTATGTTCCAGTTGCTTTGAAGGTGAAGAATTAAAAATTCTCCAGTAGGATTGTGTCTATATTTCTTGCCTTGGGTCTAACTGTGTCTGCAACCGTTATCTAAGATATTTACTTGTACTACAGATTTTTCCTGCAGAGTCAGAGGTTTACGTCGCTCTCTCTCTCTGTTTTTTTTTCTGTAATTAACCTGATCTAAAGGATGTGATTTTCATTTGACCAACTTATTAAGTTAAAAACTCATTGTGAAACAATATTCCCAATCTTTGTATCAGTGACTTATCCTTAGGAAATTATTTTTCAATAAATCAGGGCATGTGAGAAGTTTCTCATACTTTTCATTCCACTTCTTGATGGTATGTTTTCTCTTTTTACATTATTTCTGTTATGAAACATTCCAGCATTGGTTGGCATTTGAATGAGATCCAAAGGTTAGATGCAATCGATCCTGCCTTACTATTTTCTATAATGTTCTGATGCTGCTTGGAATAGTTTGTTCTCATCTTAGGCTACTTGGAAAGCAATGACGCTAACACATCTCAGAGTTGTCACTCCAGGCATCTCAATCATTTGTGCAGTGGAATAAAAAGGAAATGAGTATGAAAGAAGGGCCAGTCTGGGACAACACCTGTACCCCCAGGGCCCCTCCAGGTCCCAGCGTTGGAGAGGCAGATTGTGTGGAAGTCAAGGTCATGCACTGTGGAACAAGACCTAGCTGTGGACCATGGGCTGTTTGCTTCAGCAGTGCTTCACAGGTGCCCATTTGTAGGGACATCTGTACCCTGAGGAATCATTTACACAAGTAGAATGAACAGATGATGAACTTAACAGAGGTGGAAGTAAATGTCAACTCTGTGGAATGTGTCAAGAAGTTTATGGGGATTGAAGGAAACATAAAAATTGTTACATGTGTGCTGACAACATAAACTTTTAGCCATCCAACTAGTACATAAACAGAAAGCTTAATATTCTTAGTCAAAGGAGTAGAAGCCAATATGCTGATCTTAGGACCCTCTTTGAATGCAGCTACTGTATCCCTTGGCTTTCAAGTGGCTGTATTTGAGTGTGAATGTCCTTGAGGAATTCAGTCTGTTGGAAGCAGAAGGCACTGACTTCATACTCCTCTGTGGGACTCAGTGATGCTCCCGCTGAAGACTGACACCTAAAGAAGAGCCCCATTGATTTCACAGCCTCTCCCACCCAACATGTTTTAAAGGTTAGCTGGATCTTTCAAATAGAGGCCACGTTTTGATCCCATATACAAACATCCAAAGGGACATTTTCTTTCTCCAATAGAAATGTTTAAATTCTTAGGCTTTGGAAACTAGGATTTACTGATGTAGGTGATGAGTAAAAGTTTCGGAAAACATTCTAAACGAACTTGGTGTGTTACATTGAAATTATGTAAATCAGTACAGGATCTGTTTCTCCTTGGATAGACAGAAAAGTTGCAATGAACACCATTATTTGTGTCTTTTAGGAATTCCATGACTAGTTGGTAAGTGCTTTTGGAGCTGTCATGTTGAGGGTCCCAAAGGCTAGAATGTGTGCTCATCCGCTAGTTGGGTACATCCCTGGTGCTGGTTATTTACAAATCGAATTGTGAAATCTGTATACTAGAATGATTTTGATTTATTTGATTTTTATTGATACATAATAATTGTACATTTTTATGGCATACAGGTGATATTTTGATGCAGGCAAATAATGTGTAATGAGCAAATCAACGTGTTTAGGATATCCATCTCCTCAGGCACTTAGCATTTTTATTGTGTTGGAACATTTCAAATCTTCTCTCTTAGCTACTTTGAAATACACAATTTTTTTGTGGGGGGGACAGAATCTTGCTCTGTTGCCCAGGCTAGAGTGCAGTGGAGTCTCGGCTCACTGCAACCTCCACCTCCCAGGTTCAAATGATTCTCTTGCCTCAGCCTCCAAAGTAGCTGGCACTACAGGCACGTGCCACCAAGCCAGGCTAATTTTTATATTTTTAGTAGAGACAGGGTTTCATCATGTTGGTCAGGCTGGTTTTGAACCCCTGACCTCAAGTGATCCTCCTGCCTTGGCCTCACAGAGTGCTGGGATTACAGGTGTGAGCCACCGTGCCTGGCTGAAATACACAATAAATTATTGTTAACTATAGTCACCCTACTGTGCTATACAGTTAGATGGAGTAACATTCAGTAGATAAATGGAATGATTTTTTTTTTTCTTTGTTTTTTTTGAGACGGAGTCTCGTTCTGTCGCCCAGGCTGGAGTGCGGTGGCGGATCTCGGCTCACTGCAAGCTACGCCTCCCGGGTTCACGCCATTCTCCTGCCTCAGCCTCCCGAGTAGCTGGGACTACAGGCCCCCCGCCACCACGCCCGGCTAATTTTTTAATTTTTTTTAGTAGAGACGGGGTTTCACCGTGTTAGCCAGGATGGTCTCTGTCTCCTGACATCGTGATCCGCCCAGCTCGGCCTCCCAAAGTGCTGGGTTTACAGGCGTGAGCCACCGCGCCCGGCCTGCAAATTTCATTCTTTCACACCCAAGAAACAGATCACCCAAGCATTGTCGAGGTGCATTTTCACACCGTTGGGCAGCTTCCTCCTCAAGAGCCCCTTGCACATATTCTATTAGTGGTTTTGGGGCTCAGAGAAACTCTGCCCTTCCTGGGATCCCCAAACTCCTAGACATTTCCAAAATCAAAGACCAGATAGGATTTGTAAAGCTGGATATTGAAGGCAGTGGGCATAATCTGAGCACTGGCCATGTTTTTATTTGCATAATTGTCCTAAAATCTTTTATGAAGAATGTTGGGAAATAGCAATTATAGCTACTGTATCTTTACAGGGTACTGTATTATGTTTGTTATTTAGCTCTAAACACTGTGAAAATACATTTTTATTACTAATGTTTCCTCCTAAAACATGTTTGAGAAGTTTCTCCCAAACCAGTTAAAACTTAAAACTATCTATTGATATTTACATTTCTTTTCAAAATGTCCATCTGTACTTGTATTTTATGTTATTTATATTTTATCATTTAAAGGAAGAAAGCTTCTCTTCATAGGCTGTAACATTCATCCATGTTTCTGTCCCTCTCTACTGGGACACAAACTTGTTTAATTAAATATAGCACTTACGGCATTTTATTTTATATTTTATATTAGTAAAATAATTTTGTCTAGTATTATCATTGCCAGATAAAAATACAAGATTCCCACTTAAATCTGAATTTCAGATAAACATAGCATTTTCTTAAAGTATAGAATGCTTCTTGCAGTATTTTGGACTCTGAAGGTTACATATGTTCTCCATATTCATAAATGTTTTGCTTAGGACTTTATACATGTGTGAAATTCTGCATTCTTCTCTTATTAGTATTATATCATAATATTTGTCTCAATACATAGGCTTTGTGGTTATTACTTGGATGGTTGTATGCTATCATCATGGAATTAAATCCCATGCTTATCTAACATTTCCGTATTTGGGACATTTAGGATGTCTCAACTATTTTTACTTACAGCAGTAATTTAAAACCTATCCTTCATGACCTCAGAAGAATTTAGGAAGTGTAGCATAGATAGAGATGAACATAAAACAAGGATTTTGGTTCTTTTGTAATGTTTTCTTAATCTCATTTTCTTGTAGGCTATTTTAAACTTAACAACTGTGTATAAAACTCAATTTTCAATTAGCAAATGTGTAGCAAATGAACATATTTATTTATCCCAAACACTTAATATAGGAGTATTTGTTTCTGAATTCCATGTTTGATGAATACTCATTTAACTGTCTATAACCAAACTGTCAATCCTGAATAGCTAAGTCTGAATGTACCATAAACTTTGAAGCCCTTTAATATTACATAGAAGACAATAGAGCAACCTGGAAAACATTATATCTGGGGAGAGACAGGATAAAAGAAGAGGATCTTAGTACTTAGGAATGTTCACATTGTCCTTACTTATAACCAGATTTAGATGATATCAACACTGCTTGCCTATTTAGTTCAAAGTCAAACAAATTGCTCCTCTGTTGTTAGTTATCTGATTTAAGAGCTAAGTCAGTGGAAGTATTGACATTCAGAAACGGCCAGTGAGCTTCTGTGTGTTTATTTGATGATTCAGAAGCCCTCCAGCCTTATCTTACTCTTGGTGGTAATTCCTGACAATCTGTGAAAATTTTCTCTATCCCGTCCTGTTAACTGCAGTCTATCTGTTGGCACTAGCTCTCTTTTCAAATATGTGGGGGGAAAAGCACCCCAACTGCCTTTTTTTTTTTGTTTAAGACAGAGTCTCCCTCTGTTGCCCAGGCTGGAGTGCAGTGGCACGATCTCAGCTCACTGCAACCTCCACCTCCCAGGTTCAAGCAATTCTCTTACCTCAGTCTCCCAAGTAGCTGGGATTACAGGTGCACACCACCACACCAGCTAGTTTTTGTATTTTTAGTAGAGATGACGTTTTGCCATGTTGGCCAGGCTGGTCTTGAACTCCTGACCTCAAGTGATCCTCCTGCCTCGGCCTCCCAAAGTGCTGGGATTACAGGCGTGAGCCACCACGTTTGGCCGTCTCTGCTAACTTTAGAAAATCCTTTATTAGTGAAGACAGTTGTACATGCCTCTTTCTTGTCATTGTAAAGAGCTCTATTGTAAGACAAACAGTGTCCTAGGTAGATAAGCTTGAAAAGTCATTTGAGAGGAGGTTTCTGAGAGTCTTGAGTGTCAGATTCAAAAATTTGGAACTTGTGCAGAGAGGCACCATTACATGAGTGATAGCATCTCCCTTAATCTAAACATTTAATGTGTTTACTTTAAGGTTATGTAATGCAACCAGACTAGTGTAATGACTTATTATAAGAGGCATATAGTTTTTGAAGATTATCAACATGGAATGATATTTGATTACTTAGTGCATCCATTACATTAATGTAGTGAACTCCACTGTTCATCAACAACGTTGTCATAGACTTGGCTTTGCCGTAGCTATTGAAATTACATGAATATTTCATCACAGTCAAGGTAGTGCTGTGATAAATATTAAAAGAGGACAATGCTAAAAAATTACATCTGAAAGGATTATGTGGTTGAGAACACACCAAGAAAGGACACGAAGGTGGACATCCTCCACTTCTGATCTTTCTTTCTTGTCACTCCTCGGGGGCAGTTTGGAGGGCGGTGGCCAGGAAGGCCTGCGTTGTCACAGAGAATGTGCTAAGGGGATGACTTACTTGCTAATATTTGAGTAGTTCCTTTTGTCAAATAAAAAATGAATTCAGACTCAGGTAAGGAGAATCTTCATCTGAAAAGACTATTGTGGTAGAGGTAAGGGTATCATGTGACCATGATACCTGCGAGGGCCTCCCAGGTCTGTAAGAAAGGGCTTTTCTGTTATACGGAGGATTGCAGGAGTGAACAAGGCCGTGAGGGTGGGCAGAGCAGGAAGAAGGATGGGACAGTGAATCCGCATATCCGGAGGGTTTTCCCTGAGGTCTGTGGATCCTTAGGAGGCCCTTTAGGAGGGCTGTCCTGTTATTTGCTCAAGGGGGAGTCAAGGTCCTGATTAAAGTTTGGTCAAGTTGTTAGTGGGTATTTTGTCCAGGTTGGTCAATGGAAACAAACAGTTTGGCTAATAATTTATGAGATAAAGATTGAGTACATGGAAGGCCTGTGTCTGGCCTTGGAGGTAAATACGGTGTGCATCTGTGAGTCCCATCTAAGTCACACAGGGAAGACAAGTTCTTTGCAGTCAGCAGTTTCCTGGAAGACAAAAGGGTTTCAGGGGCTGGGGTGGGAGAAGATGTTAACTGTTGCTGTTTTCCAGGAGCATAAAGCCCAGGTCAAGTTCAACATTGCCCCTTTATACCAAAGGTCTGTTTCTGGGATTTCATGAGTCAATCAGCCAGTTCAAGTCCACAGTTCTTGAAGGCCTACATCGTGCTGGGCACTGAGTTAGGTACCAAAATAATAAACACACCAGGACCTTTATCCTGTAGGTCTGAATCTAGAGAGCAGCTTGAACCTGAGAAAACCCTGGGAGGCAGTCTTAGATGGGCCCAGAGACTGTTTGAGAGAACCTGAGGATCAGGATATTTGAATTCTGCACAGACTGGCTTGCTCCTTCTTCTCCATAGCGCCTCTTCCTCTTGTCGGTGACCTAACTGCAGATGGAGAGAAGGAGCCCACATTTTCAGTTCAGTCCTGTGGCATTATGCATTTCTCAATAGACAGTAGAACACCAGGTGTCACTTGCATTATTTTCAGAAAGTTATATAGGTTTGTTTCTGTGCCTAATCTGGCAATTGTTGACTTACGACTAAGTGTGTAAGTCTTCTTTACAACCCTGGTGAGCCTCTGACTAGTATGCAATGTTTATGTGGTTTCGATAGCTGCTCCAAGGCCAATCTGTGTTAACTTTGTTGATGTACAGAAGACTCATCAGTCAGTGTAAAATTTGGAGACTTGACTCTCAGTAGTTCCATGTAAATAAATGATGGAGTTGGAGTACATATTTTGGTCATGACACTTAGATTCTGATGTTGTAGGCCTCTTTAATTAAAGCGTTGAAGGGTTGTTCTCAGAATGACTGGACCAGGCCTTTACTTAAATGGGTGGATCAGAATATCTCAAATAACTGTTTTTATTTTAAACTCAAATGACCTTCCTGATACCAAACAAAAAACCTCAGTTGGTATTCAGAACTTGAAAAGTCACCGTTATCTTTACAAATATCCGAATATCTGATCCTGTAGATACAAAATACCTAGAGGATTACTTAAATTAGAAATACATACATAAATATGAGTATCTGGTTATTTTGTATTCATAGGAATTCATCAGAAACCTAGAAACTCCATCTTTAAAGTTTAATCATTCTAAAAAGTCTTAAAATCCTTTCAGCTGTGAAGTTCTTTATTAATATAAAGGACTATGAAACTTCATTCACGGCTCCCCTACCATTTTCCCTCTTAAGTCAGAACCTCAGAGGATTCAAGGGGACTCATGAAGTGGCCTGCAGAAGATCGTTTCTTTGAGATCTTGTGTTTTATCTTAAAAGAGACACATTGTTATTTGACTTTATAATCTATCCATGGTTGTTTACATCTAAAAGTAATATTTAAGTTGCTTCTCATCAAGAATAATTTAACCTACAAGGAGCCTCCTGGAAGGAGCCAGGTTTCTACTGTGCACGCTTTCGGTGCAGACTGGTGCCTGGCTACGGATTCCCCGAGGGTGTGACGGTGTCAGTTCAAGAAGCCTTGTCGACTTCAATTAAGTGGGGATTGGATGTCATGTGAGCACAGGAGAGAGGAAGTTGGGGGTGGCAGGAGAAGAACTGGATCAAGACTCTTGAGTTAAAGTCCCTACAGGGTCCCAGGCAGGGCGGGCCCTGAAGGTGGTATAGAGAATGGCCACGGCATCACAGATTTGGAGGGCCCTGGCCACTGGGTGGTGCATGCTTCTCCAGAAGGGGCAGCCTATTGTTGCCACGTGCCACGTGAGCCTAGTTTTGCCAGATGGTATAATTTTTTAAAAAGAAATTGGAAATCTAGGTTTTTATGAAAAGTCTTACATTGGTTCAGGACTTGGTTAGGAAAACAGAAGCCACTGTAGATAATCCATGTATAGAGGGTTTAAATAGAGGAGATTGCAGGCTATACCACTGTTGAAAGGGATGGGAAACGAAGGCCAGGGAAGTTCTCACAGACCCCAGAGATCTCCATCTGGGGGACCCAGGTGCGGCCAGAGTCCTGGGCTGGCGTCAGAGCCCTCTGACACTCCCAGGCTGGCTGTGGCAGCTGGCAGCCCCAGTGCTCCTGCTCCTGGGCCTGAAGAAGCATCTGTAGGCACTGAGGCAGGCACCTCCCTAGTGCTTGGGGAGGCTCCCTGTCTGTCCTCTGCCCTGTCTGCCCGGACGTCCATTTGCAGCTGCACTGAAGTATCTCAGCTTCTCCTCCGTTCCGAAGCCCTGCAGTGGCTCTCATGGTGGACTCTGACGCAGACCACATGGAGGGGAGCTTGCGGGGCACAGCATCCTGGCCTCACCTCGTGTGTGGAGCAGACCTCAGGAGAGGGTGGCAGTGACCCAGTGGACCACAGACAATCCAGCCTGATCCTATACTTCAAGTTTAAAACACTGTGCTGGTCAATACTGTGTGTTCCAAAGGAAACGCACACGTGGGCCAGAGCTGCCTGCCATCAGCTTGACGGAGGCAAGGCAGGAAGCACAAGACCCGGGGCGGGCGGGCCGGGGCGGGGAGGGGCGGAAAGGATGACGAGGCATCGCATCAGAGGCCACTGACTTGCTAGCCTGGCCTGGGGCTGCTCACCGGCTCCACCTGCTCCCCTGCCCACCACCGTCCACCTCTGAAGGAACCGTTATGTGGCAGCTCCCACTCCCCCGCTCTGCTGTGTCTTTGTTGTTTGAGGAAAGGCCCAGACACTTACCTCAGGTAAACAGGTGGACTGAGGTCACATGGGGACCCACGGGACTTGTGAGGAGTTAAGGCCGCAGCGCCCATGCTGAAGCCCTGTCAGCCAGAATGCGGGGGAGGCCCAACTCCCAGGGTGGGATGATCTTTCTACTGTCTTCTTAAATAAAACGATATTTCTGGAAAAGAAAGAACAGAATTGAGATTTACCTTTTAAGACATCTTCTGTGTATGTTTATTAGAAAAATGAGGAGGCTTGCACCTGTAGTCCCAGCACTTTGGGACGCTGAGGTGGAAGGATGGCCAGGAATTCCAGGATGCAGTGAGCTATGATCACACCACTTTACTCCAGCCTGGGTGATAGAGTAAGATGCTGTCTTTAAATAAGAATTTTAAAAAGAAAAGGAAAGGCTGAAACTTCCCAAGTTGTAGTCTTGGGAAAATGAGAGCATTGCAGTTACTCCTGAACCTGTCATTGTCCACCCACCATGGAGATAAAGATGGAAATGGAAGAAACATGTTTTCAGACTCACATGGTCAAATGTTACCTTTGTCCCAATTCTAGCCCTCTACCTTTCTGTCTGACTTCTGATTAAAAAATAAATTCTTCCGTTCCACTTTAGATGACTATAATAAAGTCAAATCTAACTAGAAATTTCAGTAAAGGAAAGCAAGAAAAGAAAGATCTGTGGAAAAATCTGTATATCTAAGATTTCAGCATCTCACTTGTATCCAGAATAGACAAACACATACACATTTTTGCTTCTTAGCATTAAGGATTCTGTTTCTAGTACCTTTTTTTTTTGAGATGGAGTCTCACTCTGTCTTCCAGGCTGGAGTGCAGTGGTGTGATCTTGGCTCACTGCAACCTCCACCTCCCAGGCTCAAACAATTCTCTTGCCTCAGCCTCCGGTGTAGCTGGGATTACAGGTGCATGCCACCATGCCCGGCTAATTTTTTTGTATTTTCAGTAGAGACGGGGTTTCGCCATCTTGGCCAGGGTCGTCTCAAACCCCTGACCTCAAGTGATCCACCCACCTCGGCCTCCCAAAGTGCTGGGATTACAGACATGAGCCACCGCGCCTGGCCTATTTCTAATTCCATACTGAAATCAGAGCTACACCCCCCAGCTCCCACCTGCCACCCCATCAAATAGCTAACAGAGACGGCCATTAAAATACATGCCCAGTAATAGTGATTTTCATAGCACAGAGATTTGCTAAGGTGATTTAATTCAGCAATACCTTTGACTGGAGCTTTTTACCCTCCTTAAATGATCATGTGGACCATAAAGTGCTAATAAAATCTCCAGCTGCACTTCCATGAGGTTATGGACGTGGTGGAGTTGTCAAGATGTGTGGTTTGTAAGCTGTGCAGACTGTTTACTCAGCGTCCTTAGGAGAGGGATGCATAGTTCTCTGACATGATGTCACCCTTTGCCCAGGATGCTGGAAACAGAGGGGCCTCTGGCAGCTGCAGTTGTTGGTGGGCTGGGTTCGCCCCCACCTTGGTGCTGGTGGTACTGACAGGGGGCAAGTTCTGCCCAAGGAAAGATAACTTTGTTCTGTTGAAAATCTCTTGGAAAGAGTTTCTGTGCAGGATGAAGTCCACATGACTGTTTAACACTTCCTTTGGTGTTATTTATGTATTTTTTTACTGATGTGCTGGAGGGACCGTGTGAAGAGTGGAACAAGCTCTGGTCTTCAGCTTGCCAGCCCTGAGCTCTGCTACAAACCAGCTGTGGCACGAGCATTTCCCCTCGCACCTCAATTTCCCCTAACATGAGACAGACCAGACCCACCACACAGTGGGTGTGGGAATAAAATCAGACAACATATATGAAAATATGTTATAAACTGTGAAATCAATGTCAGCTGTTACTCTTTTTTTTTTTTTTTTTTTTTTTTTTGAGAGGGAGTCTGGCTCTGTTGCCCAGGCTGGAGTGCAGTGGTGCGATCTCAGCTCACTGCAAACTCCGCCTCCCGGGTTCAAGCCATTCTCCTGCCTCAGCCTCCTGAGTAGCTGGGACTACAGGCGCCCGCCACCGCGCCCGGCTACTTTTTGTATTTTTAGTAGAGACGAGGTTTCACCGTGTTAGCCAGGATGGTCTCGATCTCCTGACCTCGTGATCTGCCCGCCTCGGCCTCCCAAAGTGCTGGGATTACAGGTGTAAGCCACCGTGCCTGGCCCCGGCTGTTACTCTTACACATGTTACATTTAACAGCTTTTCCTAGTCAGCTGATTATACTGTGATCTTTCCCGTCTAAGATTCTGCAGGTAGAATCTGGCTATGTTTTAAGAAGAAAATACCAAGCGTTTTAATTTGAGGCACTTTTTTTTGTTCTGTTTTCTTTCTTGAATGAATGCAGAGCATATTGATGTTACTCACTGGATGTAGAGTTCCAGTGAAAATTTTTCGTAAGTAATTTCAGTGGTAAATAAGTCACCCTAACTCTTGTATTGAGTTAATATTATAACAAATACTAGTGAATGAGGATTCCTATGTATTGTTTGTTTCTGTGAAACCCAGTTGACTTTGATTTTCTCCCAACTCTACTTGGAGGTAAAAGTCAGAACCAGTGAATATAAAGAATATAAGTTTAGTAACGTATACTGTGTACTTAAAGCCGTTGCCAAGCAGCAAATATGTGCTCTGGATTTCCATCATTTTGCAGAAATGCTCAGGGAGGAGGATGTGTTTCCCTTTGCTGCAGGCTTCACTATTAGCTTTCATAATTAAATCATACTTCCAACCCTGTCGTCCTAATGTAAAATTACCTTATGATTTATTAAAAGAGAAGGTGAAATTACAGGGATTCGTAGTGGCCTCCTTGAAATTTATTAATAATTTTAGGCAGGGCCAGCATTTCAAACTCATTAATATTAAACGTGAGTCTCAGTGTTTTGAGTGTTCTTTAACGCCATCATTCAGAAGAATTTCTATGAAAGAAATCTGACTATTTTCCTGTAAACCACATAATACTGCATATAAAATTTTAGATATTTATCTTGTAAAAACAGATTCAACTGAGTTTTTTAATGTTTTACTTTGGAGAAGCAGAAAAAAACTCTGTACATGAAATTATTATATATTATTTTATTCAAATACTTAAATTTTATCTGTTTATTTTCAGTTTACTGTTATCACCCCAGAATTCCTGATTGCTGGTAATCTGATAACACCCTCTGGCATATTTGCTCATACTTTCAGAACAAAGGAAGCTTATCATGATATTTTAAAGTATAATAAGAGCAAACACTTCTATTGTATTTATGACATGCTGTGCACTGTTCTAAGTCCTTTACGTACATTTAATCCTCACAGCAACCCTACGGGATAATATCGATGTGCACCATTTCTATAGAAATGGGCTCTATCTTTAAAAGAATTCAGACAGCTTGTTAATCTACCTCCCCTTCCCCTTGCTAAAAAGGGTGTGAAAAGTTGCGGTCATTGAGATCAGAGAAAGAAGTGCACTGGGGGGGTCAACCAATGACGTTTTTTGTCAAACTGAAGCTTTGCTTAGTTCCTAGTCAAGAGCTCTGCTTAGTGATCTATCTGCCCAGGGCTTAGGGAAGTCCCTGAGCTTATTTGTTTCTCAGCCGAACTGCCTCAACTCCAGTGGGGAACTGTGGCAAGCTCCAGAGCAGTGACTTAAGTGTTTGTAAGTGGCTCAGCCCAAAAAACAGTCCCAAGCCATTTCTTTCCAAGGAGGTTTCAGGGAAAGGAGCACTGCTGGTCTCTCTTTGTGAAAAGATCTTTATTTGTGAAGGCATTCACTGTATGCCACTGTCCTTGTCCACTGCCAAGCTGGGTGCAGTGGCTCACCCCTGTCATCCCAGGACTTTGGGGAGGCTGAGATCGGAAGATCACTTGAGCGCAGAGTTGGAGATCAGCCTGGGCACCATAATGAGACCTCTTCTTTACTAAAAATTAAAAAACAAAATATCCTGGTATGGTGGTGTGCGTGGTTGTGGTCCCAGATTCTTGGGAGGCTGAGGCGGGAGGATCACCCGAGCCCAGGAGTTCACGGTTACAATGAGCTATGATTGCACCACTGAGCAACAGAGCGAGACCCTGTCTCAGAAAAAAAAAAAAAAAAAGAGAGAGGAAAGAAAAAAATGGGCCGGGTGCTGTGGCTCACGCCTGTAATCCCAGCACTTTGGGAGGCCGAGGCAGGCGGATCACGAGGTCAGGAGATCGAGACCATCCTGGCTAAGATGGTGAAACCCCGTCTCTACTAAAAAAAAAAAAAAAAATACAAAAAATTAGCTGGGCGTGGTGGTGGGCGCCTGTAGTCCCAGCTACTCGGGAGGCTGAGGCAGGAGAATGACGTGAACCCGGGAGGCGGAGCTTGCAGTGAGCCCAGATGCACCACTGCACTCCAGCCTGGGCGACAGAGCCAGATGCCGTCTCAAAAAAATAAAATAAAATAAAATAAAAGGCTGCCAAGTGGGTTTCAGCATAGTGTAGCATTTTTAGTTATCTTAAGAGAACAATGGCCAAAATAAATTTTAAGAATTTGTTCATGAATGACTTTTCCTCCTATGCCAAAAAGTGAAAGCTGAACATTTCAAATAAACAGAGAAACCCTTGGAATGACCTAAATCAGTCAGATAACCCTACAGAAGAAGGACTAGATTGTTTGGGAGTAATTGTGGCCCATTAAGCCACTGATCTTTCCTGGAGAGGATCAATGTAAATGTGCTGCTGGTTGTTGTCCAACGTAATTTTGCTTATCTTTTATAATATAACTTTTATATGGTTACGGAGCTTTACAGTCAAGCCTCAAGCAGCACTAGCATTCATGAAACATTCCCCAGCTCAGGCTTTCAGAGGACACGTGATGTTGAAATATTGCTTTGTAGCGGCTTCCAGGCTTCTGTGGGACCATGTGGTCAGACTCCAGCACTGTGCAGGTGATTATAGTTGTACAGATAAAGGATGAGTATGTTCATTTCGTCAAAACCCCACACCTAAAGCTTTCTGAGCTCATAACAAGCAGGAGAGAATGAGATAAGCTGTGCTGGGATTCTCACCACGTGGTAGTTTGAAGTGTGGAAGTGTGTCGTGAGGATGAAGATGTGAGGTGCTGGAATGCGTTTCTGAGCTATTACATATCCATAGATTTATTACAAATGGAACATATTCTTGTCGAGTTTAGTTGTGTGGTTTACAGTCTAGAGGAGTAAGTCTGAATTTTAAGTTCCCTTTCAGCCAAGGCACTGAGTGTGTCAAATGGGCGTTGTGAGTCCATATTGGTTTGCAGTCTTTGGGCGTGTAACTCTTTTTGGTTGCAAGTTTCAGAAGCAAAGCCAAATCGTGGTCAAAGAAAATGGGCGATTTATTGATACTTCCTCCATCATGGCAAGGCCTGGGACCCAAACCTCACTCCCCTTCTCCATTTCTTGGCTATGTTTTCTTCTGTGGTGGTGTCGTGCTTAGTCAAGCTGTTCTTTGCCAAATGATAGTAAGTGGTAATTTTAGGCTAACAGACTTCGAGCTAGTGATTCCCATGACAAAAGTATCTCTTTTCCATTAGCTCCAGCGAAAGTCCCAGAGAGGACACGCTGTGGCCCTGCTGGGATCCCAGCACCAAACATTGTACCTGGGGAGGGGGCCTCATTAGCCAGACCCAGTCACATCCAGTCACACCTAGGACTGGAGTGGTTCAACCACTCCTGGACCATATCAAGCATGATGGAGGAGAGTGGTCCCCAAGAGAAGCAGGCGCCGTTATACTGCATTGTAGTTATGTCCCAACATCTCAGTGCTTTGCAACAACAAAGGTTAATTTCTTGCCTGCCCTGCATGTTCATGGCATCTTGGCTCAGCCGGGCCACAGACCTCTTTGTTGTAGGTAGGCTGAGAAAGCTGCTGTCCCTGGGCACTGCCCACCTTGTGACACGGGGAGAAGAGAATGTGGCTGACCATGTGGCAGCCCTTCTAGCCAGTCTGCTTGGGCAGGACTTCAGACTTCAGATGGCTCCAGGCCAGCTTTCTCTCCTGCCCAGGAGGCCGTCCCTGCCCCACCCCTAGAGAGAAGGGCAGCTGCGTTCATTGATCTCTGCTGCCAATTCAGAATCCCTAGTTGGGAGAAAACTCCAGGCCACGGTGTCTCCTAAATCCAAAAGACACAAATCAGACTGTCTTGGTCTAGGAGAAAGAGCCTCCTGGCTTGAGGTGGGGTGGCTAGGGCTAACAGCATAGCTTTCTGCATAGGATTCTTCCTCACGATATTCTCCCCACACTGCCACCTTTTACATTCTCAGAGTATGTGAAAAGCCTCCAAATTCTGGGCTCCAAGTGTTACATAGACCATTCTCCTGGTGCATTATGCATTTGCAGGGTCCGTCTCATACTTTGGTACTAGACATATGTTATATTGCAATCCCAGTGAAAGCTATGATAAGAAGAATCCAATTTTAACATCCTATTACACTATTGTCTTCAACTGGAAATGAAGACATGAAAACCAGTAACTTTCAGTGATCCACGTGTTTTGAAAGTGAATTAAAAATATGACCACTTAGCTGGGTGTGGTGGTGCGTGCCTGTAGTTCCAGCTACTCGGGAGGCTGAGGCAGGAGAATCGCTTGAACCCACGAGGCTGAGGTTGCAGTGAGCCGAGATTGCTCCACTGCACTCCAACTTCCAGCCTGGGCAACAGAGCAAGACTCCGTCACACACACACACGCACACACGCACACACGCACACACACACACACACACACACGACCAGCATCTGTCTTTTTTAAGGAAGGCTGTGTGCTTTTAAAGTTTGTTGAAACTTACACTTTGCTTTTCTTATTTGTGCTTGGCATTTTCTCTAGACCCAGGGGCACAGAAGCAATGGAGAGTCATAGTTTTCTATGACCTGTCACTGATTATGGTCACAGTGGAAATTCTCAGTAAGGAAATGGAGATGCCAATTGTTATAAAGGGATTGTTATAAAAGGCTTAAGCCTTTCATTTTCCAGTATGTATTCTTCACTTGGTTTAAACTGAAATCACACAGAGCAATGTTCTTTATAAAATGATTTTTTGTTAAAGTTCAGATTCTATCTGGCTTAGGAGTAGAAGCACATGAATTGGCCATTTGGATGGATTATGAGTGAATGGATCTTGGAAGTCATGTCTCCATCACTCTTAATAAATAAAAATCTTGCCTGTAATCCTAGCACTTTGGGAGGTCAAGGCAAGCAGATCACCTGTTTGACAGTTAAAACTGTCTAAAGGGCATGAATCTTAGTCAAAAGGTCATCAAAATTATTGTATAAGTTGTTTATTTAATCTAAGCATCAATTACTAACACACAATTTATAAAACACATAGTTTTTATGTCCAGAATCACAGAGTTGAACAATTATGTCATGTGATAGAAATCCATAGTTTGCTTCCATGTCTCCCCTCTCATTGTCAAGAATCAGCACCCTTTTATGTGGGGGACACATCCTCTCAAACCCCTCCACAAATATTTCTTCCTAGTGATTGTCCCATTCCTAGTGCACCCCTCCCCTAGCCAAGAGTGATTGGTTCAGGGGAGACACCTGACCCACAGAAGACCAGTGAGAGTCCTTCCCTGGGATTTTTAAAATTACAGCTGGAAAAATAGATTCAGTCTCTCTCAAGTGGCAAAACTGGAAAGTGCTGTGCCTTGGGGACGGGGCAGCCTCCTGGGAGGGAGAGGAGGCCGGCCTGGAACCATCTGAAGTCTGAAGTCCTGTCCAAGCAGACTGTCCAGAAGGCCAGGAACCCCAACATTGAGGCTGCAGGGTGTGGGCCATAGGAGAATCATGGGCAGAGGGGAATCAGTCTGCAATTGGAAGGGGGCAGTGCCTTTCCCTCTGGAGACAGATCACTGGGGGCCCAATGGGAAGTGGGGTGCTCCAAAGACACCAGGGGAGAGCAAGTGTCAGAGATGATCCAAGCCAGACGCAAAACAAGCTGGCATGATGCTTCACCCCCGATGCTTCCTCTCCCCATAGCCCCATCCTCTGCTCTGCCCTAGGCAGGGGAAGGAAAGGGAATAAGGGTAAAGGCTGGCCACCTGCCACTGCACCAGCCTGGTGGGGGACAGGGTGAGATTCGATCTTCAATCAGATCAGGGTTTTGCCCACTGACAGGAGGAGACCATTCTACTTTGTAAATTGAGATTATGCTGGTAACTTATTACCAAAAACTGTCTGTTATCTAAGAGAGAGCAGAAAAGTCATGGGATGTGCCAGGTTTTTATCGCAGGGCAAGGGAAGATTAAGCTCACTGGATACATTTTAAATTAGAATGTATTTTTTATCTCATTAATTTAGAATAAGGTGAAAATAAAATCACATCTTGCATACACCCCACAATTTGTGTTTGTTCAACCAGGGACCATGGTAGACGGTCAGTCTCTTTGTTTCTTAGTTTAGAAGGGTTTTGGTCTATCCTTTCAGCATTTTGAAAAAGGGAATACATTAAAGGCATAATTCTGAATGCTTAAGTCTATAGCCTCCAAATCAGGGCCCCAGGATCCCCAGGCACACAATCACCTTTTATGTTTTTTGGTCCATCAGAATATACAGTCAGAGGTTTAAAAACTAAACATATCCAGAAATGTTTACATACTCATGTTACAAATTAGTGTGTGGTTTCAAATTTGATAGCTTATAAGTAGTATAGTACAAGAGTACAAGAGCTTGTGTGTCCCAAAAATTTAGCATGGGAGTAGCCGAGGCCTTCTGCCTGGTCGGGGTCTACATTTTTCCTCAGGATATTTATCAATCTAGCATTTTTTAAAAAACAATAACCTAAGAGAAAAATGACCATCTCGACTTAAATGCTTTAGGAAATTCTCTGTGAGGATATAAACACTGAACATAGTCATCGGTTTTTCAAATTGACAGGTTTGAGAAATAGAATGTCATGGGGGAAAATGTCATGTTTTCTCACTTAAAAATTTCAACACCTCTACACTGGAACGTCTTTTAAGAATTATTGATATGTTAAATTTTGGGCAGCTTTTTTTCTCACTGGTGCTTAAAAATAATGTTGTGTTTTATAATAGATGGTCTCTTGTATAAAATGGTACATGAATGAAAGAATTTGCTGAAAACAGAGGTTTTTTATGTTATCCTATAACTTTAAGGGAACCACTTCCGTTTCTGCTCCTGGGGCCCTCTGAGAGTGCTTCATGGGGCCAGCAAGTGGTGCGTGGGGACCCACGTGCAGCACTCGAGGCCTCAGGATTGACTCTCCATTGAGTCCCAGAACTCCAGAGGAAGTTTGGAAGTCGGAAGGAGTGTTCTTGAGGATTAGGGAGGTCAGTAAAGGGCTTGGGCTGGCCCAGATGGAATGAGCCCAAAATGGGCTTGAGTGGATGAACCTGATTTAGGATTCCACTTAGTGGTGGGGAAGCTCATGAAACATCTGAACCAGACTCTGGCCACATGGGACTCATCTGTCCCCTGGGGATGCCATGCCCATTAAACTCTCTGAAGCTGCATCTCCAGTGGGAAAGCCATCCCACCCACTGAATTCCTTGAGTTAACTATGACCCCCTGAGTTTAAGTTGGTCTTCTTTGCCCTTCTTCGTATGACCCCAGGCATTGAAAGGCATTTGTTGAAGCATTATAAAAGTGAAAATGTGGGCCAGGCACGGTGGCTCATGCCTGTAATCCCAGCACTTTGGGAGGCCAAGGTGGGCGGATCACGAGGTCAGGAGATCGAGACCATCCTGGCTAACACGGTGAAACCCTGTCTCTACTAAAAATACAAAAAATTAGCCAGGCGTGGTGGCGGGCGCCTGTAGTCCCAGCTACTTGGGAGGCTGAGGCAGGAGAATGGCGTGAACCCGGGAGGCGGAGGTTGCAGTGAGCCAAAACTGTGCCACTGCACTCCAGCCTGGGCGACAGAGTGAGACTCCGTCTCAAAAAAAAAAGAAGTGAAAATGTGGTGAGCATGACCCTGAAATGAATCAAATGGAGCATCATGAGAGAGAAGGAAACACCTTTTGGCATGGCACAAGTTGAAGTTGTTAATGGGCAGGCCGTCTTTTAAAATGTGGTGCCCTTGGTATTTACTGTGGAGTTGGCTAAGTTCCAGCCTGTTAGATCTTCTCCATCATCACTTTAGTGTCAATGACTTTTAACTCTAATACATGAATATTTTTGTGATAATTAATTCCATTGCTTTTTGGAAAAGCATTCAAATGAAAGGAAAAATCAAATGGAGCACTCTGTTGAAACATCAATTATTTTAGCAAGAGAATCAAGTGATTGTGGATTCAAGGCAATGGATGTATTTAATCAAAACACTCATTCTTTGAATCATTGTAGAAAACCTCTTTCAAGTCTAAACTTTTAAATCTACCCTACAGAGCATTGCACAACTTCATGTATGTTCAGTGAGAAAAATATCTGTCAACAAATTGATGCTTCAGTTTTCCATTTTATACATAATTATTGAAATCTATAATTATGTTGATGCATTTTAAAATACACTTACTTTTCTTAATATAAAATAATAAGTTTTTTATGACAAAAGACTATAAACAAACTATGAAGACAAATGACATACTAGGAGAAAACATTTGTGATTATATAATTAACAAAGGCTTGGTTTCTATGATACATAAGAGATTATAACAACTCAGCTGGAATAAAAGAGAAATAACCTATAGGAAAACTAGAAAATAGTATTCATCAGCAACTTACAAAAGAAGATATACAAATCACTAATGAATCAAATAAAAAGAAAATCAACCTCATTAAGAATAAAGATATAGGACGGGCACAGTGGCTCACGCCTGTAATCCCAGTACTTTGGGAGGCCGAGGTGGGCAGATCACCTGAGGTCAAGATCAGCCTGGCCAACATGGTTAAACACTGTCTCTACTAAAAATACAAAAATTAGCTAGGCATGGTGGCAGGCACCTGTGATCCCCGCTACTCGGGAGGCTAAGGCCAGAGAATCATTTGAACCCTGGAGGCAGAGGTTGCAGTGAGCCGAGATCATGCCATTGCATACCAACCTGGGCGACAAAGTGAGACTCTGTCTCAAAAAGAAAAAAAGAATAAAGATATAAATTGAAATGTTAAGAAGAACCCACATCTTGCCTGTTGAAAAACAAACGACAAAAATAAATGGACCAATTTGGTATTGGTGAGGGTGCATTTAACAAGGAACTTCTATGTGGGATATATAATTTTCAAAGTTTGTTTTTTGGAGACAAGTTTGATATTGTCTATCAAAATTTAAAATATGCATACTTTATGATCCATTAATATGTTAACCTACAGAAATACTGGCACAAATGTGCAGAGATATGTCTATAAGACTTCTGAATGCAGGACTGTAAAAAATAGTGAAATGTCAGTCCAGTCAGGGAATTGGTTAAATAATTCATGTTAACTATGAAAAATCTGCAGTCTTTTTAAAAGGCCAGGTGCAGTGGCTGATGCCTGTAATCCCAGCACTTTGGGAGGCTGAGGCAAGAGGATCTCTTGAGCCAAGGAGTTTGAGACAGCCTAGGCAACACAGGGAGACTCCATCTCTACAAAAAAAAAAAAAAATTTAAATTATACAGGCATGGTGGCTCATGCCTGTGGTCCCAGCTACGTGAGAGGTTGAGGTGGGAGGATCGCTTGAGCCTAGGAGTTCAAGGCTGCAGTAAGCTGTGATCGCACCAATGCACTGCAGCCTGGGTGACAGAGTAAGACCCTGTCTCAAAAAAAATTTTTTTTAAATAAACAAAATAAATAAATAAATTTAAAAGGGACTGCAATACATACGTATGTACTGATATAGTAAATAGATTGTTTAGTTAAAAAGGCACGCTGTCATAATAGGCAGGCTTTCAAAACAAACTCCTTCTGAGATAACAATATGAATGCCTTCATGGCGGGGAGCCCTCATGACCTAAACACCTCCCATTAGGCCCCACCTCCCAACACTGCTGCACCGGGGGTCAAGTTTCCAACACTTGAACTTTGAGGAATACATTTAAACTGTAGTGCACACTAGATGCTAATAATGAATACTTGTGGGAAATGGAATTCAAAATAGAGTGTGGGAGAACTTTCTTTTTGTTTTATACATTTTTTAATTTTGGAAAACTTTATGAAAAACATGTATGACTTTGTAAAGAAAAAAATTAGAAAACTGGAAAATAAAGAAACCTAGGAGAGAAAATTGTTACCATAATTCTACCACCTAGATATAACCATTATTAACATTTTGGGATACTACTTTTATATGTTTATTTTTTCGTGTGTGTGTGTGTGTGTGTGTGTGTGTGTATCTTGCTTCTGAATTTTCCAAAGTATCAATATTTTCTGAAATACATACTTAATAATGGCTTTACAATATTCCATTACTGAACAGTGTCATAACTAATTTAACTATTCCACATTATCTTGCTTATAATTTTTAAGTATTACAAATAATGTTGAGATTGACATCCTGATACACAAATCTTTGCCTCTATCTCTGGTTATTTCCTTAAAATAGATTCTTAGAAGTAGGTTTACTGGATTAAAGTATATGAGCATTAGTTTTTATTATTAATTCATTTTTAAAGATGAGTATATTCCAATCTTCAAAATCATAGTATGGAAGACTATGAGGTGAAAAATAAAAGCCTCACATTTTTTCTTTGTTGCCACCATGTAGCATTTTAAATTCTTTGAATAAAGACAAAACATAGAAGTCCACAGAAGTCTTTAGAAAACAGCCCAGTGGGTAGACTTTTTCTGATTTAGGAATATATATCTACCATACAACAGTATTTCCATACATTTCATTACAAAGTAATCTTTCTAATGGCTAATCAAGTGTTCATACAATAAGTATACAGAAAATACAGTCAGGTGAAAATCTACTAAAGAGGACTTGAAATGAAACTAATATGTGAAGGGGAGCATCCAGGTGAAGACAACTTGTTTTGGTGGTGGTGATTAGGCTGTACTCCTCTAAATAGCTTTTGCTGTCTTCAAACTGTGAAGCAGTTATGGCCAGGCCCTGTGTTTTCTGGTCAGAGGGCTCCCCAGTTCAGGGCTTTCTCTGTAGTAAACTCTGGACTCAATCCTTCTACATCTGTGACCAGCAAACTTTTTCTGTGAGGGGCCGGGCAGTTAATGAGTCAGGCGTTGCACAGCACGCCGGCTCTGTTGCAGTCGTGAGACTTTGCCATTGAACTGCAGAAACAGCCATAGAAAATACTTAGAAGAAGGAGCCTGACTTGGCTCCAAGAAAACTTCACTGATGGACACTGAAATTGACTTTCATATAATTTTCATGTTTCATGATCTAGTCTTCTTTTGACTTTTTTTTTCAATCATTTAAACATATAAAAAGCATTCTTAGTTTGTGGGGCGGGATTTAGCCGGAGGGATGTAGTTTGCAGACACCTGTTTGCCGAAAATGGAGCAGGGACAATTTCCAAGGAGAGGATGAAATTGCCTTGTATACAAAAGATCGTCCTACACTGGAGACAGACTTAACTCATTAGCTATTTTTATCTGACAGTGTCCTAGAGGAAAAGCCTTGCTGGCGTTAGGCATTTAAATCTTTCCTAGACAAAGCAAGTGAAAATCTTGTGCCAGCTTCCTTCTCCAGGATAGGGATTGGAGGGCTGCAGATGAAAGCATCCACCTTTGGTGATTCTCTGCCACTGTGGTACCACCCCCCTGAAGTCCATGTTGTTCCCATTTTGCTGGCAGTGGGCAGCAGGAAATGCAGAAGAATGAGTGCTTTTTATGTTAGTGTGGTCAGCCTGAGCTATGTAGGCGACTAGGCAACTCACTGTCCCTTCTCTCCTAATGTCTTTCACTTCCACAGTTTTTAGATATATCTCCTTGAAAGACAAGAGGTAGATACGTGTGTGTGTTGGGTGGGGGAGATGAGGGTGAAGGGCAGGAAATAAGCCATAAATCTGAGAAATTTAAAGGTCAACCACTTCCTGTTTCTCTTGGAAATCCCTGCAGAAAAGAACTGGGAATGGCCACAGAGAATGCTTAGTAAAGCGTCATTTCAGTTTTATCAATGAGGAAACCAAAACCCAGAAACAGGGAGGCATTTGTCCGAGAGCTCTTAGGAGGCAGAACCAGGTGTGGAGCCCGGGACCAGGCTCCTGGATTTCTGCTCTGATGTCCACCTTTGTAAGCCTGATGCCTTTGGACAAGATTCAGCATTCAAAGCCAAGCAAATTATCACAGAAGCCAATGAAATGGTATTTGGTAGCAGGACATGGCCCCTAATGCTTGGGCCAGCAGGTTCCATTGGGTGGACAGGCTTGGTCTGGCAAAGGGCACGTGGTCCTTCTCATGGCTTCTTCACCCCAGGGCTCTAGGTGGCCACACCCCACAGCCAGGCTGGCGGTGTCTCAGCCACCTTGGGCAACAGAGTGAGGGCTCCATGTGGACCGGCTTAGAGAATGGAAGCCTCACTTGGACAGCTCCGCTGGTTCCAAGCCCTTTCCATGCAGTGGAGGCAAAGCTGCCTCCCTCTCATAGTCTCTCCTTGGGCACACACACAAGAAAGGTTTTTCAGTGTTGAATTTGGAAGAAGTGATATTTCTCCCTGACAGCATCTGAATTTAATTTATAGTCTTCTCCTTCAACTAACTACAAATAAACTTAAGGCCTTACTCAACAGCTGGGCCAGAGTATTATTTTTGGAAGTCATGGGGACCAGTAAATGGAAGGGGAAACTGATTCATTTCTATCTCTCTGATCATCTGCATCGGGGGATTTCAGGGCTATTTAGACAAAAGCTTCCAAATCGGTTGAAGTCCTGAGTTAGGATCCAGGAATCATATGAAGTAGGGGTTCATGTTGAGGTTATTAACTTTTATAAACCACAAAACAGGATATGCCTATTTATTTCCCAGTCCCTTTTGATCCTTGCTTGGTATGAATAAAATAATTTTCACTAGTGTTAGATGACTTTGTTATGTTTTATGCACTCTTAAGAAATATCTTTGGCCAACATGTTGCATTAACTCTAAAAATGGGAGGTGAAGCCAAAGTGTGGGCTGCAGTGGGGGCAGAGCCAATGTTGACCTGTGTTCTAACTGAGGTCTGACTTGGGGCAACTCGCTTCACGTTGCAAATGAAAGCTGTGCCAGTGTAGTGCATAGGGTCTCTCTTAGGTTACGCACACCGTGATTCCAAAACACTGAGTCAATGGTGTCTTTCTTCGTAAGTAGCTTGTGTCTTCCTGGCATGGCAAGAAAGGGAGTATTATTTATTTCTCACTGGATTCCAAGAGAAATGAGAAGGCAGCCAATGTCTAGACTTCAAGTCCAAGTGCTGATAAGGTTTTTGTTTATATCTGTGACCTATCAATGGAATAAGAATGGTCTACCTGAGTTCTGAGGCTCAGCAATTAATGGCCATTTTCACTCATTCCATGTAGCAAACTTGGGAATCTCTCCGCCATTCAAAAGAACTCAATCAGTGTCTCCCTGGCAGGAATGAGAGCCCTTTGATGTGGGGCAAGCTTTGCCAGTGTACAGGGCTGCAGCAGGCTCCTTCCACCCCCACACTTGGTGGCATAGTTTCAATGGCACACTGAAAATGGCCCTGGGGCCCCCTTCCAGCGGGTGGCTTTTGGAGCTGTAGGAAGAGGGGACAGAGTTCCTCAGATGGCTTTCAGTCAGGCCATCCCTGTGGTGTCTCACTGGACATTTTACTAAGTGCTTCTAAATCTGCAGACTAATGTTTACAAAGGAGAGACATTTTTATGAGAACTGGAAAATGATCCCAAGCAATGTTTAAAGATATTTTATAATTTATATAGAATAATCAGCTCTTCATCCAGCTCCCATTTTTCTTTCCTGTTAGAATCTGTACAGAAAAATTCAAAAGGAATTTCTTCACTTTATTGAGAGAAATGGAAGAGCAGCTGGAGTTAGGTAGGAAGGGCCAGGGTGCCGTTGCCATCTGTCTTCAGAGAGGGGACAGCGAGGCTTCTGAGTGCCTGCACTTATTAATTAGCGACTGCTTTTGGAGAGTTGCTGGCTTGCTGCTGTTACTCTCAGGCACCTACAACTGTCTGAGTCTCCTGCATGTTGGTCCTGTGTCTTTAAGAGAACTAAGTTGCTTTACCCATGAAGGCAGCTGTAAAATGGTGGAAAAGTCGTTAACTTGACTCAAAGCCCTGGTTTTGAGTCCTACTGAAACTACTTTTTCTCTGTGTGACATTGAGAAAATCACTTCGCCTCAGCTTCCCCATTTGTAAAATTTCAATGATAAATGGCTTCCCCAGTGATTTGGGAGGATTAACCTACCATACATACGTTCAAGCTGGAACATAAAGGAGCTAATCAAATTATCACAGTAGAGAGAAGAGCCTGGCCAACATGATGAAACCTGGTCTCTATTAAAAATAGAAAAATTAGCTGGGCGTGGTGATGAGCACCTGTAATCCCAGCTACTTGGGAGGCTGAAGCAGGAGAATCGCTTGAACCCAGGAGGCAGAGGTTGCAGTGAGCCGCAGTAGCACCACTGCACTCCAGCCTGGGCCCCAAGAGCGAGACACTGTCTCAAAAAAAGAAAGAAAAAAAAACCCCAACAAATTATCACAGTTGAAAACGTGAATAATTTTAGCTATCCGAGACTTATGCTGCTCTACATGTAATGTTCACTCACTTATTCAATGCTTATTGTGTGGTAGGCTCTGCCATAGGTCCTGAGGGGATGAACAGAAAAGATAACATTACTTACCTTCATGATTTAGCCCACTGAGGCTAACAATTTGAAACTTTTAAAGTTTCTTTTAAGATAGTTTAAGATGTTGATGGTGGTGGGCGCCTGTAGTCCGAGCTACTCGGGAGCCTGAGGCAGGAGAATGGCCTGAACCCGGGAGGCGGAGCTTGCAGTGAGCCGAGATTGCGCCACTGCACTCCAGCCTGGGCGACAGAGCGAGACTCCGTCTCAGAAAAAAAAAAAAAAAAAAAAAAAAAAGATGTTGAGTGAATGGACTGGATGTCAAGGAGAAATCCGTCTTTCGACACGTCAAAATTTGTAAAGGAAAAAATTTGTAGAACAGTGTAGTGAGAGTCCCCAACTGAAGTTGACTATAGTCATCTGATCCCATCATCAGAAGAAGCCTGTTTTCTTGCTGAATTTATATGGAGTCTGAAAAAGATGGAAAAATTATATTGTTATTGTTTGTTTCTTAAATTGTACACATTGCAATGAAGTGATTTTAGAACTGCTTCAAGATATTCCTGTTAGATAGACAGGGTTTGCCATGTAGGGTGTTGGCTGGGGATCTGGCTTGAGGGGTGTGTATAGGTCACTCCCGCAAATGGCTGGCTCCGCTTTACCCAGGATGCACAGGGTTTGTGGAAAGGTCAGGTTACTATATAATTGAGAGAGAAAAGGTACTGTTTTTAGCTAAGCTACCTAACAATCTACAGCATATTATTCTTCCAATGTATCACTGGTAATCAAAGCTGCTGAAGCTGCAGTGTTTCCAGAAATCATTCTCTGGTTTGAAAATCTTCTGGAAACCAAATGGCCCTGACCTCAAACACACTCGATATTATAAGCTCTTGGGCTCGTTAGGCTTTGGGGTAAGTGAGAATGGTTTGATTTAAAAGAACACTTTACGTGCATATTAAGCCAATTTTTTGAGAACAGTTCTTGAGGGGGAATAGCAAGAGATGTGAGAGCTGGCGATTGCTCCCTGGACAGATATGTGGCCCTGTGAAGGGATGAGGGGGCCACAGAAGGTCCTCATGCCATAAATGTTCTCAGTTCCGACCCCAATCACATAGGCTACATTACTAAAAGGCAAGGCTGCAACTCATTTGTGACCCTCTTTCTTGGTTTGACAAAGCTCTTTTTGTTCACATTTTTCAGGATCCAAGGTTTGGATCAGGTTGCCTTGTCCAATTACATTTATTCTTGGTTGTGTAAAATTGTGTCTAAGGTTTTTTCAAGGGAATTTAAAAAAGAATTTTAACATTAATAACTTATTTTCCTGGTTTCAAAAGTATTTATGCTAATTCTAGAAAATATAGACTAAAATCTGTAACCACGGAATACAAATCGTTTCTAAACTATGGAGTGATAATTACTGCTGTTATGTCTTCTTACTATAGCTTTTTTCAAACAAATATGAGATATCATTTCACATATCTTAATAAAATTGAATCACATGGAATATAGTATTTTTAGTTTTCTGTATTTATTATGTTTAACAATCTCTTGGCAAATACTCTGTCAAGCTAATTTCAAATGGATGAACAGTATTCCATAATATGGACTTTTCTTAATATCTTCAACCATTTTCCCATTGTTATTTCCTGTTCTTTGTTTTTGTAAATAGTGCTTCTAATGATGTGTTCTCGATCTTGGACGAGAATTATGCTCCATTAATCTCTGTCCTGAGATCTCTTTCTATAGTCAGGTAGCAGACAACCTTTCAAAAAATACCCTTTTAGCCACCTCTCTGAGTGAAATTAAGCCTTGCATCAAAGACCACATTTGCCACACCCTCCAAAGAGTCTTTTATTGGGATACTGGCTATGATTCACTAATAGCGTGGGGAAACCACGGCCTGCCTTTTACTGACTCGTGTGGCAGGAAATTCTCTGCTTTAGGAGGTTGTCGTGTGAAAGCGGAGCCTTGCCCTTGTGCTGTGACTGAGTGGTGACACTGAGACGTGAGACTTGACTTGTGGTCTTGAGTTGGAGCTGCTGCCACTGGGGTTCAGTTCCTAATCCCTAAGTCAGTGAGTTGGCAATGAACAAACCTTTATCCCAGAGAACATATTTCCAATAAAAACAACAACACTATGAACAAGAACAAACCCCTTTCTAGCGCTCAAGATGGACAAGCCGTATGCCAGACATGGGCTGGCATCTCATTGAACCCCCACCCTATCATCCATGAAATAGTTAGCCTTCTTATCCCTATTTTGTAGATGAGATAACAGAGCCAGAATCACACCAAATGACGTTTTGTTCAATCACTTGTTTGTTAAGTAATTTGTCTAAAAATAATTTTTTCAATGTAAAAATCTTTTATTAATGCCAGTGCTCAAAAGCTACCATTCTTACAGCTTTTCTTCATTATACCTATACATTTAGTAGAAAATATTTCTTTTCTTTTCCTTTCTTTTTCTTTTTTTCTTTTTTTTTTTTTTTTGAGACGGAGTCTTGCTGTGTTGCCCAGGCTGGAGTGCTCTGTCACCATCTGGACTCACTGCAACCTCCGCCTCCCGGGGTCAAGTGATTCTCCTACCTCAGCCTCTTGAGTAGCTGGGATTACAGGCGCGTGCCACCATGCACGGCTAATTTTTGTATTTTTAGTAGAGACGGGGTTTCATCATGCTGGCCAGGCTGTTCTTCAACTCCTGACCTCGTGATCCGCCCACCTTGGCCTCCCAAGGTTTTGGGATTACAGGCATGAGCCACTGCGCCGGGCCTGAATATTTCTTATTAAATTTCAAACAGAGGTTAGAGAGGTGACATTTCATATACACTAGCATAGTGATATTAGAAGCACTATATTTGTGAATTTCTTATCTTTACAAATTGGTCTTCTCTATGCAAATGTACAGTGCCGCTTTTTAAAGAGCAATGTGCCCCACATCTACTTTTTTTTTTTTTTTTTTTTAGACGGAGTCTCGCTCTGTCGCCCAGGCTGGAGTGCAGTGGCGCGATCTCGGCTCACTGCAAGCTTTGCCCCCCCGGGTTCACACCATTCTCCTGCCTCAGCCTCCCGTGTAGCTGAGGACTACAGGCGCCCGCCACCACGCCCAGCTAGTTTTTTGTGTTTTTTTAGTAGAGACTGGTTTCACCGTGTTAGCCAGGATGGTCTTGATCTCCTGACCTCGTGAATCGCCCTTCTCTTAAAGGAAGTGGGGGATGTGTTTGTGAAAATCTGATTGGAAAGATAACATGGTTGTGCATTTATTTTTTGCCTTGTATTTATACTTTAAGCTTACTGGGCAGTTTGCCCAGAAGTAATTGACTTCCTTTGCCCTCCCCACTACCGACCACCCCTACCCTTTCAGGTTGGAAATAGGTTTCCATAGCATTTGGTCAGTCTGGTCAGTGGGTATTGTAAACCCATTAGACTGTGTCAAATTTGGTGCATCCTGCATTGAGTGGCCTCTCATTCACTTCTATTTCGGAGCTTAAAGCCAAATATAGATACTTATGTTTCACTTTGTTTTTTTGCCCAGCAGTTTGTATTCCTTTCTCCCTCCCTCCCTTTTTTCTTTCCCTCCTTCTTCCTTCTCTCTCTCTCTTTTATTTCTTTCTTGTCATTTAATCTGGCAGATAAAGTTTGGCAGCCAGCCTATCAAAGGTCAGAGAGGACCTCTGTTTTGTTCCAGGAAAAGGCACCGTTACAGTTACAGATGCTCTGTGATGGAGAATCCATAGAAAAGAGGAACCTTGCGCTGAGCTGAGCAAGAGGCACAGAAACCGGCAGAATCCAGCATCCGGGTTGTCAGGCTTCCTGCTCTCCCTTCCTACCCTTCTCTCAGAAGAGCCCTGCTGGCTGGTCAATACTGTGAAGCCCACTTTAGAATCTCTGATTACACTCTTATGCTCTTCCCTTCTCTGTAAGGAGAAGAGGAATTAGAAACTCGTGAGATCAATCGGTTCTCTTCATAGGCCTCGAAATGGCCTGGACTTTTATCAGAGGCTAGGTCAGGGCTGCAGGAAGGGGCTAAGACAGGAAATGCTCGTTGGACAGAGCTGGAAGAGGTTTGTATTTGACTTGTACTCACCTCCTCAGAGACTGCAGATGTGGCGTCTCCTTTTCCTCCTGAGGACCCCTGCAAAGCATTTGTGCCTAAGACAGAATGTTTGAGGAGATGGACACTCTGTCTGTCAACATCTTGTGCTACCAGCTGGATACATTGTGTGCTCAATTGGAAAATCCTGTAATGGAGTTGATGGGGATTTAACGCGTGCCTACCACACAGTGTTCAGAAATGCCGGTTGGAGGTTTTATTCCTTGGAAGAGGAATGGCTGCCCTCCTTGCCTGTCTTCATTTGAAACTCAGTTATACAAGCTTATCTCTTAAAACAAATTTCAAGAGTTTGGGCAGGCACATTACCTGTCATCACTGCTTGGTTGCTTATCTTTTAGTGAAGTGAATGATACCTTGAGCTCAATTATTAAACTCAATTACATCTTTTCTGTTGAAAGTGCTTGATGACACATTGATTTCGCCTGTGTTAACTGAATTCAGCAACAGGTTTTAAGTCTTACTCGATAAGCCTAAGCATTCTGTTGTCAAGACAGATTAAGATGAATTGAGCCCTGAGAGCTTAGGGGGTGGTTATCAACCATGATACATATCTAAATTGCCTGGAATGCTTTGGGAAAATGTAGTCATTGAGGTGCTACTCCTGAGGATTTGGACTCAGGAGGTGTGGAGGGGACCGCCCCAAAGATTCTGACCTGTGGCCAGTTGTAAGGACCCCTGACTAGTAAAGAGGATGCACACATGCACATACGAACCCTAGACAGACTGATAACTGCTGTTACTGATAGATAAACAGTACACTAGAAAAGTGGTTTCTATGGTAATTTAAACTGTTCTTTGCATGGTTACCTGGCTAATTCCCATTTGGAGTCCATTTCTTTACACCTCCTGGTCTTCATCCCCAGTCTCAGTCACTGTGGTTGGATATTTTCCATTTGCTTCTCCAGACCATGAGCCCCCTTGGTGTGAGTTATGAGGCTGGCCTGTATGGGTTGCACTAAGATGCCCTTCTGCCTTCTGGCTTCTGACTGGGTTTAGCCAATGGGGGTTGATGGGAGATAGGGTGCTAATGGTTGCCACCGTTGATAACCCTGTGGTTCTCTAGTCTCCTTTGTAGCTTCTTCTAAACCTAGACTACACCAATCAATATCACCCCTTCATTACACTCTCTTCAGTCCCACAATTTAAGGGAACCTTCTGTGTTCTGCCTGGATGTGAGAAACGGTACATTTGATAAAGAAAACAATTAACACATTAATAATGCTAGTGATCAAAGAATTTAAAAAACTAGAACATAGGAAAACTGATCAATACAATTCAATCAGAGCATGTTAGGACCTTAAGGGGTTCTCCTATGAATATCCCTTGTTTCTGCATTGCAGAGGTGAAGTGTTGTTTAAAATAGAAATCCAATGAATAGGAAGTCACAGAGAATTTTCTGAATTTCTCATTTAAGAAATGTGTTGTGGCACTTTTTTTTCATCTATGTTTCCTCAGTAAAGCAGCTTTTAGAAGAGAGTCAGAGTGGGAGCTCTGTCCTCTGCTTACTGAGACTTGGTAACCCACTTTTCATGCATTCATTTCAGGACCTCCTCTGCATTAATTTCCTGGGGAGACAGGAATGAATAGACCATAGTCTCTGCCTGCAGGGGCTTATAATTGTGGGGGTAGGGAAAAGACTTGTAACCAAATAGTTCAAGTGTCCCAAGTATACATTGAGGTCTGCCTAAGGTCCAGGGGGAGCAGAGACAAGGAAGTGCCTCCCTCAGCAGTCTGCGTCCAAGCAGTGACTTCTTGAAGGATATATGTGAGTGGCATCACAAAGGAAATGTAGGAAGCAGCATTCTTCATTTGAAGGTGAACAGAGAAACAGAAATGAAGCAAAAGCAGCAGGGACTGCAAGCAGGCTGTTGTGCCTGAAGTTCTGTGAGTGCTTGGAGGGTGGCAGGAGGAAAGGCAGGCACCGTGCTCAGCCTGTGCAGTGCACAAGCCCACTTGATTGGCGTGCCTTGATTCAAACATTGGAGTAGCTTCCCTTGGAGAAAGTTGAAAACGTTACGGAGGTAGACAGAAGCACATGTGAAAACCTGAAATGACGATTTTAGTTGATCTTGATGAAAAACTGTGGGAAAGAATAAGGGAGGGAAGGAAAATGCAGAGTGATTAGGTGATGTTAAGGGGCACATAAACAAGGTGGGAAATAAAATTATCAATGTTCACAGGAAACACCAGAGCTTAAAGCTGATCTTCCCACTGGACATTGAGGTCATAAGCTTCTTGAGAACCACACTGTGTTCTTACCCATTTGCACAGGAAAAATATTTTTATTATCTATACTCAGATAAATATATTTAGATTAAAATGAAGAAAAGCCAAGTGCATTGCTTGGGAGAGAGATGCTTATGTTACAGGGGATGCTGCCTGCAGAGAAGGTGGACTGGCCCTGGGCTAGCATAATCCAAGATCTGACAGTGTGCAGGGATGAAAATGACACTAAGGGTGGTGTCATTGTCTGTTCCTGCCTCTGTAAGTAAATTTCAAAGACTGAGCAGCTTATAAACAACAGACATTTATTTCTCACACTTCTGGCTGGGAAGCCTGAGGTATAGACACCAGCCGATTCAGTGTCTGGTGAGAGTCCATTTCCTGGTTCATAGACAGCCCCCCTTGCTGTGTCCTCACAGGGTGGAAAAAGGGAGTCCCCTGGAGTCTCTTTTATAAGGGCACGTATCCCACTCACAAGGACTCCACGTGTATGACCTCATCACCTCCCAACAGCTCCACCTAACACCATCACTTTGAGGATTAGGATTCAACATAGGAATTTTGGGGGGACACAAACATTCAGAACATAGCAGGTGGATTTGGCCAATTTCTTGCCATGCTACACATGGGATTGGCCACTCATTTTAATCTAAAACATACATGACAGGCATTTTGTTTTCTGCGGAAAAAAACCTTGGAGGTTGAGGAACGGTTTTGAATTAAAAATCCTGTTTCCTTTAAATATGACATTTTTAGCTCCTCTTCCTGTTAAAAAAAAAAACCCGAAATTATTTATGTGTCTCTTTTTTATTGTAAGAAAGTTTGGCTGGAGCAGCAGGGATCCATTATCACAATATAGTAGTGTTTTTCATATCTATCAATTCCTTCAGAATAAGTCCTGACAGATTTGTAAATTTGTGTGGATATTTCATAACAATACAGTTTTCCTCCTGTATGCTTTGCACTTATTTATCAGTCTCATTAGCCTGTTTTGAGACTTAAAGAACCTTTTTTTTTTTTTGAGACGGAGTCTCGCTCTGTTGCCCAGGCTGGAGTGCAGTGGCGGGATCTCGGCTCACTGCAAGCTCCGCCTCCCGGGTTCAGGCCATTCTCCTGCCTCAGCCTCCTGAGTAGCTGGGACTACAGGCGCCCGCACCACGCCCGGCTAATTTTTTGTATTTTTAGTCGAGACGGGGTTTCACCGTGTTAGCCAGGATGGTCTCGATCTCCTGACCTCATGATCTGCCTGCCTCAGCCTCCCAAAGTGCTGGGATTACAGGCATGAGCCACTGCGCCCGGCCCTGTTTTGAGATTTCTCTGTCGAATTTTCGTATCATTAGGATAAATAAGACACCGTTTTAAAAAGTCAGCTTCACATTAATTTTTATGACACCAATAATTTTAATATTACCCATTGCTGATATATCAGTTTCTAAAATTCTTTGTATGCCATTATAAATATAATTTTTTGTAAGTCATGTCAATTCAATTACATACAACGTATATTTATTGATGACTCACTCTGTCAGGATATTGTACTCGATGCTGGAAATGAAGGAGGATTAATTTATAGTGTCTGTCCTGGGTAGTACACAGGCTTCAGATGACCACATGTACCATTAGGGTTTCCATTATACCCCCTACCTCCCTTTTTTTCTCCCACCCTCTCTTCCACTCTCTCCGTTTTTTTTTTTTCCTTTCTTGCCAAAGTAGCACTTTTTGAGTGCCAGTAAGCATTACAATTTAAGTAAGCTTTAAAAAAAATTTTTTTTCTATATTTTCATAGTGATATCTGGTGTTCCATATTTAGCTTCCAGTTAACGTCTAGGAAATTGCAGCCTTAATAGATAAGGGAGAAGGGGACTCAGGAGGAAGGAAGGTTAGGAGATCCATTTCATAATTGATCAAGATAGGAGTACTGGCTTTTAGTTTATTGCCAGTGAACAATCTAAACATCAAACACTAAAACCTGTGTGTACTAAGAGCCCCCTAAATAGGGGTTGGATGTAGCAAGGGCTGAGTGGAGAAGCTTGGTCAGCAAATGGGCTTGGAGCTGCATTTTGCCTGATACGTTACAGGGGGAAGGAAGAGGAGAAATATTCCAGGAAATTAGGCAGCACATCAAAAGGAAAGGAGGAATAAAAGATGTTGGAGTGTCTTAGGAAGGGCAAGCAGGTGACTGGAGTCTGTGTTGTGATGAGGCCTGATGCGTGAGAGATGGGTTGTCCAGATTTTAAAGGGTCTGGAATGCTGGGGCCAGGTAGCTGGGGTTGGGGAGAGCCACTGTGAGGAACCAGGAGGAGTCTGAAATTGAGTCAGGCTGGTCCAGTTTTGATTCTTGGGACTGTGATCTAGGAGATCTAGCTGCCGATAATACTTGGGGCAAAATATTTATCCTCTCTGAGTCCTCTTATGTTCATCTTGAAAACAAAAATGACAATACCTTGTGGAACTTTGTGAAAACGAAACAAATATATTCATGTGTTAATTCATTCCGTTATTCACTTATTTACTTAGCAGCTGTTTTTCACAGGTCTGCTCCATGGCAGCCACCTTCCAGGTGAAGGAGGTGAAGCAGATGAACCAAAGAGCCAAATGGTGTGAAGTGTCTGACATAAGGACAGCTGATATGTGACAGAATCGGTTTACTGCAATAATTGTTATTACCATTAGTCTCTAACAACTTGTTGAGGCAAAGGAGGGGCCTGGCCACACTTGTGTACTAGAAAGCTGATCCTGGGAGCAGTGTTTCCTTCTGTCGTGTCTCAAACCTCATCTCCTGAAATTCACAACTGAGAAGTTCTAATGTGCTGGTGGGATGATGTCTGGTGGAGTTTTTATCATCTGAAACTGTTGAAATGGAGTTCTTGGTAAAGAAAATAGCAAACAAAAGCAGGATCAAAGTTGCTAAGGGTAAATCAAATCAAATCACATAGGGATCCACACTCAAGCCAACTCCATGGATTCAAGCGGGAGGGATGAGAGAGGAGGAAGCCCGTGGGAGGTGAGGAAAGGGGGCCTCCATGGCGAGGGCTGGAGCTTTGCATTCTGGCTACACAACCCGCTCCTCCTGGGATCACTTGATCTCTCTTATCTCCTGTTTCTTCCTTCCCTGAAAGAAGAATGATGCCAGTTCGTACTTCACAGGACTGTACTGGAACTCACCTGAAAGAAGGGCTTGTAGCCTAACAGTGCTAGCAGGTTACTGTCCGTGGCACCTGGCACATGCCCTACAAAATTTGATTGATTCAACAAAGGATGATAAAGAAAACATTTAATTATACCAGATATCAAATAAGTAGGGTCCCTTTCCTGCCTCTCCTTTCTCTCTCTCTCTGTCTTTTTTTTTTTTTTTTTTTTTTTGAGACAGAGTTTCACTCTTTTGCCCAGGCTGGAGTAAAATGATGTGATCTTGGCTCACTGCAGCCTCCACCCCCCAGGTTCAAGTGATTCTCCTGCCTCAGCCTCCCGAGTAACTGGGATTACAGGCACCCACCACCACACCTGGCTAATTTTTGTATTTTTAGTAGAAACAGGGTTTTGCCATATTGGCCAGGCTGGTCTTGAACTCCTGACCTCAGTTGGTCAGCCCGCCTTGGCCTCCCAAAGTGCTGGGATAACAGGCATGAGCCCCCACTCCCGGCCCTCTCCTTTCTCTTAATTGAATTGATCGATTATTTAATTAAAATTGACTAAAGAGACTGGTTGTTTTGATATCAAACAAGTATACAGCTGGCTGTCACATGGAAGCTTTCCTGTTCCTTGAACCTTAGTTGTGCCTCTAGCCTCGGAGAGCCTACCGATCTCAGGACAATTTCTGCAAATTTTCTTAGTCTTCTGCCTGAGGATTCCTACTAAGTGTCCTAAATGATTCTACCTCACATCGGATTAAAGGCAAAACTCTGTGCCCTCAGACTCTGCACCAAGCCTTTCATAAGTAACTTTGGAAGTTCTGCATGCCACAGGAAGAGCCCACACCGTGCCCTGCAGGGCTGGCACCACCTGAGTGGCTCCCCCTTTGTGTACAGGCTTCTCCTCTCTCTAGTTCCCCTCCATTTCCCCAAGCCACAGCCAGCATCATTCCCTGGAGGAGAGCATTTCTGCCCTTACCTGGACTCCTTCGGATCTCTCATTCTACGCCAAGAATTTACCAAGGAAAACATCCAAACAAATATAGTTCCTCTTCTGAGAGAAATTCTGATCCTGGCCTCTAAGTGAATACAAATATTTCCCTCTTTTCATAAAGAACCACAAAGTAGCTTTTTAGAGTAGCTGGACATAAAATGAAGTTAAAACATTTAAGTCATTTGGCCCTATAGTCTTCATCTGTAAAATCAGCATATTCACATTTGTCTAAGAGAAGTCTGTCTTTATACCAGCTTCAGGCAAGGTATGCAAAGGTAGAGAACGGTGATGGATGCTTAGCATGGGATTCCCATGGGCCACCCAGAACCATAAGCAACGGCCTAAGTGAACTCTGCAGAATCAAGAGGTGATGTCCACATCCATAAGGCAACTTCTGTGAAAGGTGGTGCCACCTCCTACTCAAAGGATGCTGCCGATTCCATCAGTCAGGTGCAGTTGGCATTCCTGCATCCTATGTGTTTAATATAATATGATAGAATCAAATTGTGGTCTTTTCCTTTGCAATGTCGCTCATTACAATCTGGAGAGAGGCATTTTGAGGTCCCAGGGTGTACTTTTTAAAGAAAACCGAGAATATTGGAGTTTGCTTTACTTTGGTTTCGGGGTTGTAATTCTGGGCAATCTGCAGCAAAAATTAACACGTTCCAGATGATAGCAGAGGAAACACACACTCACACATACACACATATACTCTAGTTCTTTTTCTGATAAAAAAAACTTTAAGAATTATTTGTTTCTCAGGATTCATTTGTTCCAAGGAAGGGCTAACCAAGTTTTAAAAATATGTGAAACATCACGCCTGTAATCCCAGCACTCTGGGAGGCCAAGGCAGGCAGATCACGAGGTCAGGAGATCGAGACCATCCTGGCTAACACGGTGAAACCCCATCTCTACTAAAAATACAAAAAATTAGCCGGGCGTGGTGGCGGGTGCCTGTAGTCCCAGCTACTCTGGAGGCTGAGGCAGGAGAATGGCATGAACCCGGGAGGTGGAGCTTGCAGTGAACTGAGATCGCGCCACTGCACTCCAGCCTGGGTGACAGAGCAAGTCTCTGTCTCAAAAAAAAAAAAGAAAAAGAAAAAAATATGTATCTATGAAACAACCTTAAAATGGTACATATTCGAGTAGAAGAAAATTAGTATTTGTCATACATATTTCCTTTCCCTTGCCATCCTAATTAAGTTGTCAATATAAAGTCTTAATTAGATTTCCTATGTTAGGTCTTACTGATAAAGTAGCTGCAGCATGCAATTTACCCCAAACTGTTAAAGTTTAGTTTTCAAACTTTCCTCCCCATTTTTGTCTGCAGGAGAAAGAAAAAGAACTGAAGTTGAGGCCGGGCGCAGTGGCTCACGCCTGTAATCCCAGCACTTTGGGAGGCTGAGGCGGGTGGATCACCTGAGGTCAGGAGCTCGAGATCAGCCTGACCAATATGGTGAAACCCCGTCTCTACTAAAAATACAAAAATTAACTGGGCATGGTGGCATGTGCCTGTAGTCCCAGCTACTCGGGAGGCTGAGACAGGAGAATCGCTTAAACCTAGGAGGTGGAGGTTGCAGTAAGCTGAGACCGCACCACTGCACTCCAGCCTGGGCGACAGAGCAAGACTCCATCTCAAAAAAAAAAAAAAAAAAGTTGAGTTGAGTAGGGTGTGTTTGCTTTCAAATGGCCAGTGGGAAACTTTTGGTCTCAGTTCAGAGTTTTTCTTTGCTTCCCTCTGCACAGAGCTCCCCAAGCTAGGCATCCAAGCCTGGCCCACAGATCATGCTGGGTTAGCACTGGGAACTCGGTCCCTCTGGCTGAGAAGTGGCCCCAGGATGGCTCAGGAGGTCAGTGAAATCATGGCAATGCATCCCATGTGTTAGTTAAGCACTTCTGATGGAACTAGCTTTTATTAATGTTTAAAAAAATTATACATGGTTTAGTTCCATTTTTGTGAAGTTACCTTGAGGCTTAGGATATCAATGGACTTGCTCGACTGGGATTACAATTTTGATTTCCTCTTCTCCTGGCTGCCCACTGGGACTCATGCGATAAGTTTCCATGTTTCCTAATGATTGGCATTGGAAAGTGTATTTTTCCACTTTCTTTGTATATGTGGTTAATAAATATCTTTCTTAGCCCTGCAAGCTGACCAAAGCCTCAAAGTGTCTGCTGTGGTTAAACAGAATTTGCATTGAATGTATTTGTAAGAAAAACATGGTTAAGGCCTGGAGCTTAGCTTCACACACCTTTGCCTTTCAGTAGAACCTCCCTGGGCTTAAGTTCTTGTGGCAGAAAGAGGTTCATGACTCAGGAAACTTTCTTGTTTCTTGCCTCTTTCTGGATGCCTAAGTGGAAATTATTACCCAAATATTATTTTTCCAGCACTTTCATCAAATTCCTTTTTAATATTGTTATTGTAGCCATGTCATTATGTTAGCCAGATGGTATGTTGCAGAATAACCAATTTGGTGAAGCTATTGGACGTTGACTCCATTGGTCAGGTGTGATAACTTTTCTCTGATATCTCTGCTTTATTTATTTATTTATGTGTTTGTTTATTTATTTATTGACAGAGCCTTGCTCTGTCGCCAGGCTGGGGTGCAGTGGCACCATCTTGGCTCACCGTGACCTCCGCCTCCCGAGTTCAAGCGATTCTCCTGCCTCAGCCTCTCAAGTAGCTGGGACTACAGGCACATGCCACCACACCCGGCTAATTTTTGTATTTTTAGTAGAGACGGGGTTTCACCGTGTTGGCCAGGATAGTCTTGATCTCCTGACCTCATGATCTGCCCGCCTCGGTCTCCCAAAGTGCTGGGATTATAGGCGTGAGCCCCGCACCTGGCCTGATGCCTCTGTTTTTGAGGGCCAAGGAAGGTAACCCCTTTATTCCTTTATTCATTCTGCACTATCATCACAGGCTTATTATGTGCAAGGCACTATGCTAGGTTCTCTGAGGACACAGCAGTGGCAAAGCCCTACTCTTAAGGGGGTTACAGTCTAATCAAGGAAGTAGCATGTATAGATGGTGAAATTCTACAAGGCCATATGTAATGATGTTGTAAGAGTGTTAAAACCAAAATGCTATGGGTATTCTGAGGTGGAAGAGACAACTTTTTCCTTAGATTTAATTTTATTTTGTAAATACAAAATATACACATAGACATCGTGAAAAACTTTAACATGATAAAGATAAAAAGCCATAGTTTTCCCTTCAGTTCTTCTTAGAAGCAACTACTGTTAATAGTCTGTTATTTTTATAGGTGTTTTCTGTGTAGATGAGAGAGGTAGCAGTGTGGAGTGGTTAGGAGTGGGGATCTGGAGACAGCCTGACTGGGATTAGTTCCCAGTTTTTCCTTGACACTGGACAGTGTGTGCATCCTTCTGAGCCTTAACTTCCTCTAAATGGTGGATATTGACCGTATCTACCTAATAGGTCAGTCCTACTATAAACAATTTGACAACCTAGTTTTTTTACTTGTTGCATTGTGAACATCGTTCCATGCCCAGGCACACTGCAACAGTCATTCTTTGTAACTGTTGCACAGAATTCCCATTGCATGATAATCCTTACTGAATTATTCCTTTATTGGTAGACATGCTTTTTCATTCAGAAAATGTTACTTTTCTTTAAGGTTATGAGGGCATTATGAGAGACGAGACAAACATTTGAGCTAATTTGAAGGATGCTTATGAATTTGTGGTTTACTGTTGGGCAGGGGGCATTCCAGGTTGGCAAAGAAACAGGCAGGAATTAATTTATTCCTTCAGTAAATATTTACTGAATGCTTACTGTGTGCAGAAATGGAGTAGAGACTGGAGTAATCGGTAATGAACAGGAAACAGCTCCTGTTCCAAAGTGGCCTAGGACCTGTTGATAAACATATTTGAGGAATCACTAATAGGGGAGTTTGGCTAGAATTGGAGGTGCATTTAAAAGGGTACGTTGTTGCTTGACTTTTTCAAGTGATAGGCCAAGAGTGGTGGGTTCTGTAACCTACTTGTCCCCCAGTAAAAGTTTGCCAAGTGGTCTAGCAAAGATATTTGTGGAGGTTAACTTAGCCTCTATGGAATTTTGACTTAAACCATCCATCTTAACTCACAGGGGCTCTTGAGTCATACCTACTTTTTGGAAGTAGACACTGATACCAAAGCAGCCTCACTTTAGGAGAAAGCAGGGAGAGTTGTGAAATATTATGCACCATTTCGTAAATATATGGTGGAACGATGGGCCAGGGAAAGTGAAACAACGTCTATGCCTGGGTTTAGGAGACCTGAGATTTTTTAAATCTAGTGATCACAAAATCAAACAATCTCAAGTTCATGAGCTGATGGAAACACCTATAGTGAGCTCAAAAATGTTATTGGAATACTTACTCTAATTTCCTGAATAAAGGATGCCACCAGCAATTTTTTAACTACCGTAACTTTCTAAGGTATGACGCTGTGGTGTAGACTGAAAAGAAGGGTAATAGAGCAGAAGGCTGAGGCAGCCTGGGAAACATCTCTTTAGACTGGTCCCTGCAAGGATTCTTTTTCACCCCTCTCCATTCTCAGTAACACAGACTCTGTGATTCGATGAAATGTAAGGCCAAATACTCTGAGTAGGTAGAGACTGAAGAGATCTGGCAAAAGAGGTTCATTTTGAGGCATTCATCCAATTCATTGCTATTTGGATGTTGCTCTGGGAGCGAGGTTTTCACACTGTGGTCAGAGGCCGCATGTGTCTCATTAGTATGGTATCATAAGCATAATCCCCAGACAGAGTCCAAGGCTGAATTCATGCCATAAAAGGTGTGTCTACTTCTCTAGCAACAGAAATATTTGAAAGCAAAAGCGATAGTTCCATATATGTCAGGGAAGAGGATGTTCCCAGGAAGAAGCAGACAATGTCAAAGTAAATTCATCAAGATAAAACAGTAATTTTAATCAATTTACGGCTGTATTAGTTGTTAAGATGTAATGTTGGGTCGCATCATGTGCTGGAGATAGAAGAAATAGGACTGCATTATAGTTAGTTGAATTGATTTCTTTTCGTGTTAATGCACACCTCAGTCCAAGGCGGATGCTGCCAAGAATAATATAGAATATTCTAAAGTCTACAGTAAAAGTCTACAAAAAATTCTATTTTTACTAAGTTCTTGAAAGTAGGAAACTATGGCAGGCAGTAAATTAATCCTGTTATAAAAAGCCACTGCTGCTTACATAAAGCCCATACAAGTGTGTGTGTGTATGTGTGTGTGGTGTGTGTATGTGTGTGTGTGGTGAGTGTGTGTGTATGTGTGTGTATGGTGTGTATATGTGTATGTGTTTGTGTGTGTGTATGTTTGTTTTTGTGTGTGTGGTGTGTGTGTGTGTGTGTGTGGGTGTGTGTGGGTGTGTGTGCACGCACATGTGTTTTTGCGTGTATGTGTGTGTATTGTGGCCTTGGCTGTCACCCCTTTTTCCATTGCTGTTTCCAGTTGCTTAGGGATGAGCATTTGGCATTTGAATGTCAGGGGACTGAATAAGATTGAAACTGATTTCTCTTGTTTGTGAAAATGAAAAATGACACTTATGCTCTACTTTGTAACACAGTCTAGTAAGCCATTCCCACCTTATTTTATGTTGAACTGAACGTGTTAGTATCTACCTGTTTTTGACATATAGAACTACCAAGGTCAGTGGTTCAAAGTTTAAAAGTACTGATATTAATGAAAATGGAGCAACAACTTCCCAAACTTGAAATCTCTATGAATCTATAAAGAGAGAACTTCTGAAACAGGCTGGAGTGCAGTGGTGCGATCACAGCTCACTGCAGCCTCGAACTCCTGGGCTCAAGCAATCCTCCCACCTCAGTCTCCCATGTAGAGTAGCTGGGACTATAGGCATGCACCACCATGCCCAGCTAGTTTTTTCTTTTTTTGTGTGGAGATGGGGGTCTCACTATGTTGCCCAGGTTGGTCTCAAATTCCTGGTCTCAAGCAATCCTCCTGCCTCTGCCTCCCAAAGTGCTGGGATTGTAGGCATGAGCCACCACACCTGGCCTGATTAGTGATTTCTAAATCAGCAAATACCATGACACAAACCAAAGCAAGCTACCAAGTCCTCCAGTCTACAAATGCTAACTCTTCACTTCCATAGATGACAAAGCCACTAAGATGAGCAGGCTAATAAGCAGTTTTAATATTTGACCTTTTCTTAGCTCCCAGTTGGCCCCCTAATTATTCTTATTCATCATAATGGTAAGAGAGCAAGTTTTATTTTGGTAGGCTTAGGAACTGTGGATTTCAGTGAAGGGCTCTTTATATTCATAATGAAATAGGTCTAATTTCAAGTATAATTTGTCTGATAGTTTAAGAAATTATGTATGAGCATAAAAGCTTTATTTCCTCATTTGCAATTATGAGAGGCAATGTGTGGTGCTATTCTGTCAGATCAGAGACAATTATGGAAGATAAACATGGCCAAACTTGAACACAAGGATTTGGGTTTTAAGTACAACTTTGTATGGGTGCACTTGTAAGATGATGAAGAGCATATTAAAAGATATTTCAAAGGAGGAAGAAGCACTGCTATTCTTTCCTTAAAATTATGCAAACTGTATTCAATCAGGATGAATTTAGAAAACTCAGTGAAACTTTTAATACTGTTATTAATATTTGATATGACATACTGTTTAATACTGTTACTAATATTTGATATGAAATTATATATGTACTGTTACTAATATATGATGTGAAGTTATATATATACTGCTTAATACTGTTGCTAATATTTGATCTGATAAGTGTATATGTTGACATAGATAACAGAATCCTACCTTTGTATACTAAATTAAAAGGCAACAAATTTTTAAACTAATGGCCAAAAAAAAACAAACTAAGATCTTAGTAATCATCTGTTCCAACTCATAGTTTACAAATAGTATCTCCAGTTGTTTGGAAAAAGCAGAAAATTCAGACCAAAGCCTTTTTTCCTTTATAAATAAGATGGTTTTACTGGATTTTTTTCCTTAGATTGGTTTCAAAATTTTAGGAAATTGAGTAGTAGTTATGATTTTCTAATACAAGTCCTTATAATCTATTATCTTGTAAAAGTCTTGTTTTCCTTTAGGCTTTACCCTAAAATCACATTGTTTTAAATAATTTATTTAATGAAATTAATGTAGAATACAATGTTTCTGTGTTTCTCTTTCTTGAAGTGTGAGGAATACTTGACTGATCAGTTCAGCGTTGTGCTGACACACTGCAGCATTGTCAGCCTTCACACATTTCAGAATAAAAATGTAATGTTAAAACATGACTAAATGGGAGAGCATATTTTCTTATTTGAAATATATCTGTAGGCCGGGCACGGTGGCTCACGCCTGTAATCCCAGCACTTTGGGAGGCCGAGGTGGGTGGCTCACAAGGTCAGGAGATCCAGGCCATCCTGGATAACACAGTGAAACCCCGTCTCTACTAAAAATACAAATTAGCCGGGCATGGTGGCGGGCACCTGTAGTCCCAGCTAACTCGGGAGGCTGAGGCAGGAGAATGGCATGAACCTGGGAGGCAGAGCTTGCAGTGAGCGGAGATCGCGCCACTGCACTCCAGCCTGGGTGACAGAGCGAGACTCTGTCTCAAAAAAAAAAAAAAAAAAAAGAAATATATCTCTATTCGCCTTTCCTGTCACACATATGTGAGCACGTTTTGGTGTGCATAAAGAATCTGACACAGGTGCTACGTGATAAGAATACGTATGTAAGCATATGTCTTGCCTTTCTGAATGGTGGTGGGAGAGACTGGCATTGTCCTTCTTGAAGAAATAATTTTTGTAACTTTCTGTAGGAAGCACCTGGGACAAGACCGCCAGTGGGCACGGAGGTGAGACTAGAGGGGGAGAGGAAGAGAATGTTCTTGTCTCAACTGTCTGCTGCTCTAAAGCATCGCTGTTTGAGACATTTACGGTTTCAACCGATGTAAAACACAGAGTAGATAATGGGGGAAAGAATTCTACACTGATAGACAATGAATCAGGTGACATAACAGCCTTTTTCCTTTCTCTCATTTCTTTGACAGGTTTGCTTCCTCAGGAAAAAATCTATGGTTGTTTAATTTTCTTTTCCTGCTCTATTGTAAACACTTTGTAGCTATTTCTCTTTTTTTTCTATTCATAAAATAACCATAATTTTGAAAGAATGTCCTTTTAAAAGCAATCAATTGCTTCAGCGTACAGAAAGAAAATTATTAAAGATACAAACGATTTCTAGAATTACTGGACCGACAGAACTGTTTTGTCAGTTCGTTTTAAAGTTGCTTATTCGGAGTAATGTTTACCTATCTACTGCTGTGGCAACTGTTAAAATAAACAAAGCTCCTTGAGGCAATAAAGAGCATTAAAACACACTTAGTAGAAATGGAGCTTCTAAACATTTAAGGCACTGTTGCCTAGGCCATTAAGAGTGAGACCTTGTTTGGCCTTGCTAAAGGGATAAAGGAACTGGGAGGGCACATCTTGCCAAAAATTTAGCTCTGAGAGCACTTACCTTTAATAGCATAATCTAAAATTACTGCCTTGAGCTACTATAGAATGGTAAATTAAAGTGTGCGTAAACCTCTCTGTGATCATAGTGCAGTAACAGGAAAATTATTCTATATCTATTGCAACACAAGTATTTTTACAAATGTTATGTGGCCACCTTAACCATTTCATATTTGCAAGAGATTTTCCCCCTTTCTATATTGACACATTGTAAATTGTCAAAGTCAAATCGATCATTTTTCCTACTTCTTGAGTTTTTTCCAAATTGCACACCATCTTTCATCTTTAGAAAATAAAACTCATGAATGAGGCAAGTCCAAGTGTTTACGATTCACATGGCAGTATTAATGTTTATAAAGCACTTCACTTGATAACTTGTTATCTCAGTTTTTGATTGTGAGTTCTTCAGGCCTGGAAAGGTCTTTTGTTTGGGGAATTACTGTCAGCTGTTGTATAATTTTGGATGGTTAAAACCAGGTACAAATAGTGGAAACTACAATGCTAAAGCACCTTAGCTAAAGCAAATAATCTTTTTCCTTTAAACACATTGACCTGCATTTTTGTTGTTCTGTCAACGGTAACATTGTTGCTGCCAGAGGATGAAGGTACAGCTCCCTGAGAATCCACCAAGAAAGGTGGGGTATCAGGGGACATTGTGCAGCGAGAATATGGTCGCTCGTTATGAAAAGGAATGAATGTGCTTTAAATGTCTCCAGATCTTGAACAAAGGCAGTATCACACTTGATAAAGAAGCAGTTATTGGCTGGGCACCGTGGCTCATGCCTGTAATCCTAGCACTTTGGGAGGCTGAGGCGGGCGGATCTTGAGGTCAGAAGTTCAAGACCATCCTGGCTAATACAGTGAAACCCCATCTCTACTAAAAATACAAAAAATTAGCCGGGCATGGTGGCATGCGCCTGTTGTCCCAGCTACTCAGGAGGCTGAGGCAGGAGAATCACTTGAACCCAAGAGGTGGAGGTTGCAGCGAGCCGAGATTGCGCCACTGCACTCCAGCCTGGGCGACAGAGCCAGACTCTGTCTCAAAAAAAAAAAAAAAAGCAGTTGTTATTTGTCTTCTAAGTCGTTTCTAGCTTGAATGTGCCATATTGCCAAGTTCAAAGGCATATTTTTCCCTAGATGGAGATAACTCACTTAAATAATAGCATTTAAAGCTCTCGTAGTTTTGGATAACTTTTGGGTAGCATCTTCACATACATCAAGTAAAATTGTGACTGCCATCTGTCAAATGGGATGATTTCAAATGAAAAGTAAGTGAAGCTGGATTTTTGGAGGTGGTTTATTTTTTATTTATTTTATTTAGTTTTTAGTTTGTGCACTAGTTATCTATTGCTGCATCCAGGGACACTCGAGTGAGCATGTTGTCAGAGCAGGACCTGCCTCCAAGCTGACTCGGGTGGCTTTTGGGTGGAAATCTCAGTCCTTTGTCACACGGGCCTCTCTGAAGGACACATGTAGCACAGCAGCTGGCTTCCCGCAGGGTGAGCAAGGGAGAGGGGATGCTCAAGACAAGCCTTAACCCTTTTGTAGCTTAGCTGTGGCAGTGGTGCCCCAATACTTTTACTGTATTCTGTTCATTATAAGTGAGGCTCTAGCTACAGCCCACACTCAAGAAGAGGTGATTGCACAAATGGATGTGAACACAAGGAGATGGGGACCACTGGGGGTGGTTTTAGAGCCTGCCCACCACCCTGGGCCACCCTTGTCCTCTCCATAGCTTGTTGGACTTTGCTATGAATAATGGTAACTAGAAGGTTGTGATGTGGGAAACCAAGACCAGGCTCTGTTCTCCCGCCTCCGAAGTTAATCATAGGAAATCTTCCTTAATATATGTATTTTGATTGCAAATAATATAAAGCCTTACATAGCAAAGTTATAAAAATTTGAAACAACAACATACATACAGAGCATATGCCATCATGTTCACAGAGGGCCCTGTGCTAAGTGCAGAGGGTGCGTGAAGGGGTCTGAGGCAATATCACACTTGATAAAGAAGCAGTTGTTGCCTGGGGGAGGTGGCTTATACCTGTAATCCTAGCCCGGCCTTGACCTTACTGAGCCCTTGACATTTCACTGGTGAGAAAGACACACAGAATAAGGATGTGGTACGGCGGTGAGGTCATGCACTTCTTGAAGACAGCACAGACTCAGGATCCCGACTGCAGTGGTGCAAACCTCAGCCAGGCTACATAGCTGTACCCACTGGGCCTGCTTCTTCACATGTAAAAAGAAATAAAAGACTTTGTAAAATGATGATAATAACTACAAGAGTTAATTGACGTGAAATGCATAGATCCGGGCTTGTCACACAGTAAGCACATTAGTATGAGCTATTACTAACATAAATGAATAGTTACATGCACTATGCATGCTCTTTAAGATGGTACAATCATGTGAGCGACTTTTATTCTTCTTTTGACCCAGAAATTCACAGAATTAGGTAATTTTATGTCCAACATGGATTAACATTAAAAAATCTCACCTAGGCTAAAAAAAAGAGAAATGTTCTATTTATTACATTTTTATTTGGGGGCCATGTCAATTGGGGTGATTTTATTGCCACCAGAAATTCTGCATACCTTGATACCCTTCGGTTTCTTTTAGATCAAGCTGTTTTCATTTTGTTTTTATTCATTCATTCATTTTGTAAGCATGGATCCCCTACTCTGGAGCAGATACAGTAATGGGTATGGAGATGACAGAGATAACAAAGATTCTACCCTACTGAAGGGCCCCACTGACGTAGAAGTACATGCAAGGGGTGCTGGATGAGACATAGGCTTGAGGGGTACCAGGGACTAAGAAATCTCTGTTGGAGGAGGGTATGGTCCTGGACAGCTTCCAGGAGGGGAAGCATGTGAGCTGTGCAGGAAGATGCCTGATGCAGAAAGGACAGGGCAGATGCAGGTGATGTAGTTTTGCAGTAGCATGGAGCGCAGGATGGGCACGGGTGGGAAACTGGAGCTGCTAGCAGAGCAGGAGCCAGGCAGCCCCAAACCCAGGGGAAGAATGATCACTTCCATGGCCACTCAGAGGGAAAACCAAAGTCCCCGGAGCCCTTGCAAGGCCTGGCATGATCCGGCCTCCTGGAGGCCTCTGCTTGCACACTGGGCTCTTTGGGGCTGTCTTCTGTGAGTTGGAAGGGTCAGGCTTGCTTCCACTTTGCCTGAGTGCTTCTCCTATGGGAATTGACAGGAATCGCTCACTCAGCTCATCACCTCCCTCACCTCTGGGCTTCAACCTCACTTTCCCCTGCAAGCCTCCCTTCCCCTAGGCTGCAGCCTTCCCTTCTCTGGCTGGACTTCTTGTGGACATAGCACTTCCTTTCCAACATACCACATGCTTTGCCTTTGACTATGCCCATTGTTCACTACTGTCTCCCCACCAGAACGTCAGCTCCCAAAGGCAGGGTACAATCTCTCATTTCCGTTTTGCTCTCTGATGTAGCCCAAACACCTGGGACAACGCCCATCACACAGTGTGTGCTCACTACATGTTTGTTGGCAGATGAATGACCAAATGTCTCTACAATGTTCTATAAAAGACTTCAACTCTGGATGAGAAATAAGCAGGAGAGAAAAAGCAGCTGGAAAGAGAATCCGAGCTTGTGTTCTTGTTCTTGTTCTTGCAGATCACCTATATTTGCCTGTCACTCCAATCTGTGGTGTGAACATTTCTTTCTGCTTTGAACCTTTAAGAAAGGAGGTTGGGATGTGGGGAGTGGTGTAGAAAGCAACAAATATGTGCATGACTCCTTTGGGATAAAAAGAACTTCTTTTCGATTCCTGTTCTCTTCTCCCATGGATTTTGCTTTATTGCATTTTTATTGCAATAAAATTATTGCATTTTGCTTCTTTCCTCGCTGACTTCTAGAATCAGCCATGGAAGCAGGCACCACGGGTTCTAATGCAGACCCTTGGCTGGAGTGTGCTATGCTCCTGTTGTCCGCATTCTGGGATTAGTGCTTCTTGATCTGGTCTTCCTGTCTGGGTACCCGCCACTCGCATCCTGATGTGTCCCCTCAGCCTGGACTGCGCCCTAGTCCCTGATGCCCAGCACTTCTGTGACCAGGAGCACTTAGGCCCAGTCTGTTCCCTGGCGTCCTCTGCTCAGTCTCCCGGGCCTCCCCTTCTTGCTTCCAGCTTCCTGGTTGTGGCAGCACGTTCACTGCACTTCCATAGGTTGACTTCCTTCCTTCCTTCTGGGCTGAAGCCCTTCTGCGAGGGCCTGCAAGGACATCCTTACCGGCAGTCACGACAGTCTAGTCTCCCTTTTGCAGTGGACTTCTTTTGTGAAAACCTTTCCCTTTGTGAAGCTAGGCTTTCCTGGTTTTTCTCATATCCGTCTCGAATTTTTCTGCTGCTTTTTTCTTTCCTACCTGCCAGTTTGCTTGCCCCCTCTCATCCCACATGTAGGCAGAGCTAAGACAAACACCTGCCTCCTTCGTGCCTCTCTTTAGTGTTCTTTCCTTCAGAGAGTTCATTTTTTCTTATTATTTCAACAAACATCTCTGTTCAGGGCTTGATCTCCATGCCCCTTGATAGTCACCGAGCAGGAATGTTGACAGTCTGTGGGGTTGGTCCCCTAAGATTATAGTGCCGTATTTTTACTGTACTTTTTCTGTATTTAGATATGTTTAGATACATAAATCCTTACCATTGTATTACAGTTGTCTATAGTATTCAGCACAGTAACATATGCTGCATAGGTTTTTGGCCTAGGAGCAGTAGGCTACACCATATGTCTAGGTGTGCAGTAGGGCATACCATCTTTGTTTATGTAAGCACACAGTTCCCACAAGGACAAAACTACCTAACAATGCATTTCTCAGAGCATATTGCTGATGCTAAGAGGTCCATGACTGTATTTGTGTCTTCTTCAATTTCTATTATCAATGTTTTATATTCTTCCATTTATAGGTCTTTCACCTCCTTGGTTAGATTTATTTCTAAGTATTATTTGTAGCTATTGTGAATGGGATTTTTTAAATTTCTTTTTCAGATAGTTCATTGTTAGCATATAGCAAATACCACTGATTTTCTTGTGTTGATTTTGTATTTTGAAACTTTACTGAATTAATTAGTTCTAACAATTTTTTGGTTGAATCTTTAGGGTTTTCTTAATATAAGATCATGTCATCTGCAAACACAAATTTGCTTTGCCTCTTCCTTTCCAATTTTGATGTATTGATTTCTTTTTCTTGCCTAATTCCTCTGCCTAGGACTTCCCGTACCACATTGAATGGAAGTGTCAAGAGTAGGCATCCTTGTCTTGATTCTGGTCTTAAAAGAAAAGCTTTAAATTGTCATTGTTGAGTGTGATATTAGCTGTGTGTGTGTTACATATGGCCTTTATTGTGTTGAAGTCCATTTCTTCTATATGTAATTTGTTGAGAATTTTTACCATGAAGGGTGTTGAATTTTGTCAGATAGTTTTTCTGCATCTTTTGAGAAGATATATGGCTTTTGTTCTTCATTCTGTTAATGTGGTGTATCACATTGACAGCTATAGGTATGTTGAACCATTCTTGCATCCCTGGGATAAAGCCCACTTGATCATGATGAAGGAGGCTTTTAATGCATTGCCGAGTGGGGTTTGCTTGCATTTTGTTGAGTACTTGTGCATCTGTGTTCATCAAGGACACTGGCCTGTAATTTTCTTTCCTTGTATTATCCTTGTCTGGTTTTGGTATCAGGGTAGTGATGACCACATAGGATGACTTTGCAAGTATTCCCTCTTCTTTAATTTTCTTGGAAGAATTTGAGAAGAATTGATATTATTTCTCCTTAAATGTTTGGTAGAATTCATGAGGTCCTGGGCTTTTATTTATTTATTCATTTATTTTTGAGGGGAGACTTTTTATCACCGATTCCAATCTCCTTACTTTTTACTAGTCTGCTCAGATTTTTTATTTCTTCATGATTCCATCATGGTAGGTTGTATATTGCTAGGAATTTATTCATTTCCTCTAGGTTATCCAGTTTATTAATGTATAATTGCTCATAGAAATCTCTTATAATCCTTTATACTCATGTGAAATCAGTGGTAATGTCTCCTCTTTCATTTCTAATCTTAATTTTTTGCATCTTCTGTCTTCTTCTGAGTCTGAGGTTTGTGGATTCTATTTCTTTTCAAAAAACCAACTCATAGTTTTGTTGGCCTTTTCTATTGGTTTTCTATTGTCTGTTTCATTTGTTTCTGGTCTGATCTTTAGTATTTCTTTCCTTCTACCAACTTTGGGCTTGGTTAGCTTTTCTTTTTCTTGTTCCTTGAGGTGTAATGCTAGGTTGTTTGAGATCTTTCTTTTTTTTTATGTAAGCATTTATTGCTATAAGCTTCTCTCTTAGAACTGCTTTTGCTGGATTCCATAAGTTTTGGTATCTTGTGTGTCCAATTTTGCTAATCCCAAGGTATTTTCTAATCTCCCTTTTACTTTCTTACTTTCTTCTTTGACTCATTGACTGTTTAGGAGCGTGTTGTTTAATTTCCGTGTATTTGCAAATTTTCTGAAATTCCTCCTGTTTTTGATTTCTAGTTTTGTACCATTGTGGTTGGAAAAGACACTTGATATGATTTCAGTTTTCTTAAAATTGTTGAGACTTATTTTGTGACCTAACTTATGCTCTATTCTGAGAATCCTCCATGTGTGCTTAAGAAGAACGTGTATTCTGCCGGGTGCGGTGGCTCACACCTGTAATCCCAGCACTTTGGGTGGCCAAGGCAGGCGGATCATGAGATCAGGAGATTGAGACCATCCTGGCTAACACAGTGAAACCCCATCTCCACTAAAAATATGAAAAATTAGCTGGGCGTGTGGCGGATGCCTGCAGTCCCAGTTACTCGGGAGGCTGAGGCAGGAAAATGGCGTGAACCTGGGAGGCGGAGCTTGCAGTGAGCTGAGATCGTGCCACTGCACTGCAGCCTGGGGGACAGAGCAAGACTCCGTCTCAAAACAAACAAACAAACAAAAAAAGAATGTGTATTCTGCTGCTGTTGGATAGAATGTTCTGTATGTGTCTGTTAGATTCATTTGGTCAAAAATGTAGTTTAAGTCTGATGTTTTCTTATTAATTTTCTGTCTGGATAATCTGTCCATTTGTAAAAATGGATATTGAGGTCCCTGCTATTATTACATTATAGTCTATCTCTTCATTTATATCCGTTGATATTTGCTTTATATATGTAGATGTTCCAATCTTGGGTGCATATATATTTACAACCATTACAATTGTTCCCTCTACTTCTTTGTCTCATTTTACAGTTCTTAACTTAAAGTCTATTTTATCTGATATAAGTCTAGCTATCCCTGCTGTCCTTTGGTTTTGATTTGCATAGAATATCTTTTTCCATCCTTTCACCTTCAGTCTCTGTGTATTCTTAAATGTGAAGTGAGTTTCTTGCAGGCAGCATATACTTGGGTCTTTAAAAGATTCTTTCATCCAAGCTATGTCTTTTGATTGGAGAATTTAATCCATTTACATTCAAGATAATTTTTTTTTTCTTAAAGAAAGTATGGTTACATTTGCCTTTTATTGCTAGATTTCTCCATTGGCCTAATAGGGCCTAATGGAGGAAAAAAATGTTATTTTTTATTTTTATATATTTAGGGTGTACAAGTGCAGTTTTATTACATAGATATATTGCCTAGTAGTGAAGTCTGGGCTTTTAGTGTAACCATCACCTAATAGTATACATTGTATTAAGGTAATCATTGGTAGCTAAGGACTTACTGCTGTCATTTTGTTTGTTATTTTCTGATTGTTTTGTACTTCAGTTTTTTCATTTCTTTCTGTCTTGCTGTCTTCCTTTGTGATTTGGTGATTTTCTCTAGTGGTATGCTTCGATTTTGTACTTTTTGTCTACTTTGTATCTACTATAGGTTTTTGCTTTGTGGTGACCATGAGGCTTGCATAAAGCATTTTATAGTATCACAGAGTATTTTAAACTGATAGCAACTTAACTTTAATCATATATAAAAAGTCTGCACTAGGCCAGATGCGGTGGCTCACGCCTGTAATCCCATCACTTTGGGAGGCTGAGGTGGGCAGATTACCTGAGGTCAAGAGTTCAAGACCAGCCTGGCCAACATGGCGAAACCCCGTCTCTACTAAAAATATAAAAATTAGCCAGGCGTGGTGGGGTGCACCTGTAATCCCAGCTACTTGGGAGGCTGAGACAGGAGAATCACTTGAACCCAGGAGGCAGAGGTTGCAGTGAGCCGAGATCATGCCATTGCACTCCAGCCTAGGCAACAGGGCAAAACTCAGTCACAAACAAAAAAACAAAAAGTCTGCACTTTTATAGTCCACCCCCAATAACATTTTATGTGTTTGGTGTCACAATTTACATCTTTTTGTACTATGTATCCCTTAAATTATTGTAGCTATTATTATTTTCAATAGTTTTGTCTTTTACCTTCAGATTTCTTGGTTAGATTTTAAGACCAGTGATGATGTATTTTAATTATCTGCTTCTCGTCATGCTCAACACAGTGATGAACATAGAATAAATACCTAATTTATTACTGTTTAATTGACATATCTATTCAGGAAGTGACACTGTTTGATCCAGTGACATCTGAGACCATCTTTTGTTATGCACCCCTGGTTTTGTCAACCTGCCTTTGTTAATGATCTTCTCACTCTCTTCTCTCTTCCCACCCACAGCATGTGCATTCCGATACAATGGGCTCTCCTTTGTCTACCTTATCTACCTCTTGCTCATTCCTCTGTTCTCAGAACCAACAAAAACGACGATGCAAGGTAAGAGAATTTTGTTATCGTATACCACAGAGTTATACAGTCTGAATGTATTTTGCTGGGCTCCTTGGGATGGCCTTTATCTAATGGCAGAGATGTTATCTATGCAGCAGGGCTAATATGGCATGGAGTGGGTGTCAAACATTTTAAGAACTACACTAAGTAGAGCTGTATAGAAGTTGTTTGTGATGCATGTTTGTCACTTACACAGTTAACAAATTCCCTATTAGGGCTTCATAGTAAGCATGGCAGTATCACTGGAATGTTTTGGCTAGTTAACACTACTAACTCAAAGTATTGTCAATAAAATAAGACAAATGGCATGACAACATTGGTACATACATTTGTTTTTTGGGTTGTGGGGAGAGTGTGGTGGCAACTGGAAGAGGCCGAGCAGCATTTGATATTTATGAGCCATTTACAGGAGAATGGGGTAGGAAGATTTGTCCCAGCCATAACTTCGTACATTAGTTGAGGTTTCTTAAATATGTCTCAATAGCATAATGAAAGAGAATAATTTGATTTGAAGATGTAGCTCCTCAAGTGTGTTTCTGCAACACTTCAGCTCCCATTCTGGTTACTCTATAAGAACCTGAAGGCATGGAATATAAAGTGGTGACTATAATTTCTGAGGCTCTAATTAGGAAACATGCTCTGGTTTGTGAATTTTTCAACTTCAAGTTCTGTCACAAGTATTAAAATTAAACCACACTGAGTTAATTTAGTAAATTGTCTTTTTTTCAAAACTCTACCGTTATGAGAAGTACGGCCTGTGCCAAATGTTGTAGGTGAGTGCAATGGCCGTATGTTTACATGAAAGGAAAAGGAAGTTGTTTGACCCCATCTATGGAGTGGTGTGGGAAAGGTCATTGGTGATTTCCTTGTTAGTGATCAACTCTTTAGAAAAAGAAGTAAAGACCACGGTGTACACAGAACAACAAATAATGACTCTGTCTTTCCCATTCTCCCTCATTCTCTGTAAACTTCATAAGGCATGTTATGATCATTCATCATAGTAGTTATGACTGCAGATGGCATGTTGATTTTCCTGTCTCTAAATAACAGTAATTCTAAGTCACCTAAATCCTTAATACACAATGCATATAAAGGGTAGAGAAATGTGAGTTTATGCAAATCCTTATAAAACTAAAAATATATTGTTAATGAGACCCCACCCACCACAGCCTCATTCCTAAAGGAATTAGCATAAACAGAATAGTTTCCGGCCTGAGAAACAAGATTATAGCATACAGGCAACTACTATTCTACGGTGTGGAGCTCCTTTTCCAAAGAAAGAAGGTTGTGCGTGCATTCACAATAAAGTGCTTTAAAAATGACTACCTTTATATATCCAATTAAGTTACCTATCACTTTTATATCAGTGTGGCCCTTTATTGTTTTATTTGGAAATCAAGTAACTGGGATTTCCCCCTACATACTTCTGTGACAACCCCTGACTTTTTCTTTTTCCCAAACTAACCAGCCCTGAATATGCAGCAATGTCAGACGTGACAAACAGTTGATGGTTTATGGACATCAGTTCATACTCAGATGTGCCAAGGACTGACACTATCAGGGACATCATAGGTGAAACATAAAATCAAAAGGAAAAAACTTAATCCTCTCTGCATAAAGAAATATCATGAACTAACAAAATGTTACAAGGTCAGTGCACAAACAGAGCACAAACAGGTGCACTGGCTTCTGCTGGCACTGCTCGTGGTAAAAGAGGAGGGAAGAAGGAGTTGGAAAGGAAAATCCACACACATCCTTCCAGTGAGCAACTGAAAGCAGCATTCAGATGACTTATTTTCCTCTTTCTCCATTTAGCACCAAGAACCATGACTAATATTCAACATAACCTCATTTATGTGTTTGTTTATATAGTTGCAGAGGGGCTCCAAGCAAGGATATCACATTTTTTTCTGAACATGTAGGCAGAACACATGCGTTTCTAAAATCTGTGTTTTGAGGCATCTTGTGTTAGACCAAGCTTGTCCAACCTGGGACCCAGGACAGTTTTGAGTGTGGCCCAACACAAATTTCCGAAGTTTCTTAAAACAATATGAGATTTATGCGAGGACTTTCTTTTTTTTTTTTGCTCATCAGATATCATTAGTGTCAGTGTTATGTGTGGCCCAAGACAATTCTTCTTCTTCCAATGTGGCCAGGGAAGTCAAAAGTTAGACACCCCGGTTAGACATTACTTGTGGTGCAAGGTCCTGTGTGGTGCATGATGGATCTGGAAGAGTGAATGCAGCATGGCTTTCTAGGGAAAACTCAGGTTCAAGCATACTCAGACTTTCCAGTGTGTGTTAATACACATTCTGTGAATTATATGAAAGTACATTGGCAAACTGAAGGGACTGTCAGCAAGTCCTGCACTCCCTGCTCCCGGGCAGCCTGCACCTGAAACAATAAGTTTGAATCAGCCTTAGGAGCCTGTTAGGCCACCATGTATTGCTGGCAGGATGTGCTAATGCAGACCCCACCTGAACTGGAAGTGGGATTCATACATGTAAGCATGGCTCCGTGGCCCTCTGCCCACCATTTGGTCTGATGAGGTATTTTTCTTGTGTGACTATTTTTCCAATGTGTATATCCATAGAGGTAGGTGCCCAGGATGTGGAGAATATTAGTCTCATAACTTAGAAGGTGGACCTTTGATGTCATTCTTGGGGCAGTCTTTTTTTTTATTATTATACTTTAAGTTTTAGGGTACATGTGCACAACGTGCAGGTTAGTTACATATGTATACATGTGCCATGTTGGTGTGCTGCACCCATTAACTCATCATTTAACATTAGGTATATCTCCTAATGCTATCCCTCCCCACTCCCCCCACCCCACAACAGGCCCCGGTGTGTGATGTTCCCCTTCCTATGTCCATGTGTTCTCATTGTTCAATTCCCACCTATGAGTGAGGACATGTGGTGTTTGTTTTTTGGTCCTTGTGATAGTTTGCTGAGAATGATGGTTTCCAGCTTCATCCATGTCCCTACAAAGGACATGAACTCATCCTTTTTTATAATATGCTGCATATAATATAATACTGCATAGTATTCCATGGCATATATGTGCCACATTTTCTTAATCCAGTCTATCATTGTTGGACATTTGGTTTGGTTCCAAGTCTTTGCTATTGTGAATAATGCCGCAGTAAACATACATGTGCATGTGTCTTTATAGCAGCATGATTTATAATCCTTTGGGTATATACCCAGTAATGCGATTGCTGTGTCAAATGGTATTTCTAGTTCTAGATCCCTGAGGAATTGCCACACTGACTTCCACAATGGTTGAACTAGTTTACAGTCCCACCAACAGTGTAAAAGTGTTCCTATTTCTCCACATCCTCTCCAGCACCTGTTGTTTCCTGACTTTTTAATGATGGCCATTCTAACTGGTGTAAGATGGTATCTCATTGTGGTTTTGATTTGCATTTCTCTGATGGCCAGTGATGATGAGCATTTTTTCGTGTGTCTTTTGGCTGCATAAATGTCCTCTTTTGAGAAGTGCCTCTTCATATCCTTCACCCACTTTTTGATGGGGTTGTTTGTTTTTTTCTTGTAAATTTGTTTGGGTTCATTGTAGATTCTGGATATTAGCCCTTTGTCAGATGAGTAGATTGCAAAAATTTTCTCCCATTTTGTAGGTTGCCTGTTCACTCTGATGGTAGTTTCTTTTGCTGTGCAGAGGCTCTTTAGTTAAATTAGATCCCATTTGTCAATTTTGGCTTTTGTTGCCATTGCTTTTGGTGTTTTAGACATGAAGTCCTTGCCCATGCCTATGTCCTGAATGGTATTGCCTAGGTTTTCTTCTAGAGTTTTTATGGTTTTAGGTCTAACATTTAAGTCTTTAATCCATCTTGAATTAATTTTTGTATAAGGTGTAAGGAAGGGATCCAGTTTCAGCTTTCTACATATGGCTAGCCAGTTTTCCCAGCACCATTTATTAAATAGGGAATCATTTCCCCATTTCTTGTTTTTGTCAGGTTTGTCAAAGATCAGATAGTTGTAGGTATGCGGCATTATTTCTGAGGGCTCTGTTCTGTTCCATTGGTCTATATCTCTGTTTTGGTACCAGTACCATGCTGTTTTGGTTACTGTAGCCTTGTAGTATAGTTCGAAGTCAGGTAGCATGATGCCTCCAGCTTTGTTCTTTTGGCTCAGGATTGACTTAGCAATGCGGGCTCTTTTTTGGTTCCATATGAACTTTAAAGTAGTTTTTTCCAATTCTGTGAAGAAAGTCATTGGTAGCTTGATGGGGATGGCATTGAATCTATAAATTACCTTTGGCAGTATGGCCATTTTCACGATATTGATTCTTCCTACCCATGAGCATGGAATGTTCTTCCCCATTTGTTTGTATCCTCTTTTATTTCATTGAGCAGTGGTTTGTAGTTCTCCTTGAAGAGGTCCTTCACGTCCCTTGTAAGTTGGATTCCTAGGTATTTTATTCTCTTTGAAGCAATTGTGAATGGGAGTTCACTCATGATTTGGCTCTCTGTTTGTCTGTTTTTGGTGTATAAGAATGCTTGTGATTTTTGTACATTGATTTTGTATCCTGAGACTTTGCTGAAGTTGCCTATCAGCTTAAGGAGATTGTGGGCTGAGACGATTCGGTTTTCTAGATATACAATCATGTCATCTGCAAACAGGAACAATTTGACTTCCTCTTTTCCTAATTGAATACCCTTTATTTCCTTCTCCTGCCTGATTGCCCTGGCCAGAACTTCCAACACTATGTTGAATAGGAGTGGTGAGAGAGGGCATCCCTGTCTTGTGCCAGTTTTCAAAGGGAATGCTTCCAGTTTTTGCCCATTCAGTATGATATTGGCTGTGGGTTTGTCATAGATAGCTCTTATTATTTTGAGATACGTCCCATCAATACCTAATTTATTGAGAGTTTTTAGCATGAAGGGTTGTTGAATTTTGTCAAAGGCCTTTTCTGCATCTATTGAGATAATCATACGGTTTTTGTCATTGGTTCTGTTTATATGCTGGATTACGTTTATTGATTTTCGTATGTTGAACCAGCCTTGCATCCCAGGGATGAAGCCCACTTGATCATGGTGGATAAGCTTTTTATGTGCTGCTGGATTCGGTTTGCTAGTATTTTATTGAGGACTTTTGCATCGATATTCATCAGGGATATTGGTCTAAAATTCTCTTGTTTTGTTGTGTCTCTGCCAGGCTTTAGTATCAGGATGATGCTGGCCTCATAAAATGAGTTAGGGAGGATTCCCTCTTTTCTATTGATTGGAATAGTTTCAGAAGGAATGGTACCAGCTCCTCCTTGTACCTCTGGTAGAATTCGGCTGTGAATCCATCTGGTCCTGGACTTTTTCTGGTTGGTAAGCTATTAATTATTGCCTCAATTTCAGAGCCTGTTATTGGTCTATTCAGAGATTCAGCTTCTTCCTGGTTTAGTCTTGGGAGGGTGTATGTGTCAAGGAATTTATCCTTTTCTTCTAGATTTTCTAGTTTATTTGCATAGAGGTGTTTATAGTATTCTCTGATGGTAGTTTGTATTTCCGTGGGATCGGTGGTGATATCCCCTTTGTCATTTTTTATTGCGTCTATTTGATTCTTCTCTCTTTTCTTCTTTATTAGTCTTGCTAGCAGTCTATCAATTTTGTTGATCTTTTCAAAAAACCAGCTCCTGGATTCATTGATTTTTTGAAGGGTTTTTTGGTCTCTATCTCCTTCAGTTCTGCTCTGATCTTAGTTATTTCTTGCCTTCTGCTAGCTTTTGAATGTGTTTGCTCTTGCTTCTCTAGTTCTTTTAATTGTGATGTTAGGGTGTCAATTTTAGAACTTTCCTGCTTTCTCTTGTGGGCATTTAGTGCTATAAATTTCCCTCTACACACTGCTTTGGATGTGTCCCAGAGATTCTGGTACGTTGTGTCTTTGTTCTCGTTGGTTTCAAAGAACATCTTTATTTCTGCCCTCATTTCATTATGTACCCAGTAGTCATTCAGGAGCAGGTTGTTCAGTTTCCAGGTAGTTGAGTGGTTTTGAATGAGTTTCTTAATCCTGAGTTCTAGTTTGATTGCACTGTGGTCTGAGAGACAGTTTCTTATAATTTCTGTTCTTTTACATTTGCTGAGGAGTGCTTTACTTCCAACTATGTGGTCAATTTTGGAATAAGTGCGGTGTGGTGCTGAGAAGAATGTATATTCTGTTGATTTGGGGTGGAGACTTCTGTAGATGTCTATGAGGTCCACTTGGTGCAGAGCTGAGTTCAATTCCTGGATATCCTTGTTAACTTTCTGTCTCATTGATCTGTCTAATGTTGACAGTGGGGTGTTAAAGTCTCCCATTATTATTGTGTGGGAGTCTAAGTCTCTTTCTAGGTCTCTAAGGACTTGCTTTATGAATCTGGGTGCTCCTGTATTGGGTGCATATATATTTAGGGTAGTTAGCCCTTCTTGTTGAATTGATCCCTTTACCATTATGTAATGGCCTTCTTTGTCTCTTTTGATCTTTGTTGGTTTAAAGTCTGTTTTATCAGAGACTAGGATTGCAACCCCTGCCTTTTTTTGTTTTCCATTTGCATGATAGATCTTCCTCCATCCCTTTATTTTGAGCCTATGTGTGTCTCTGCACATGAGATGGGTTTCCTGAATACAGCACACTGATGGGTCTTGACTCTTTATCCAATTTGCCAATCTGTGTCTTTTAATTGGAGCATTTAGCCCATTTGCATTTAAGGTTAATATTGTTATGTGTGAATTTGATCCTGTCATTATGATGTTAGCTGGTTATTTTGCCTGTTAGTTGATGCAGTTTCTTTCTAGCATCGATGGCCTTTACAATTTGGCATGTTTTTGCAGTGGCTGGTACTGGTTGTTCCTTTCCATGTTTAGTGCTTCCTTCAGGAGCTCTTGTAGGGTAGGCCTGGTGGTGATGAAATCTCTCAGCATTTGCTTGTCTGTAAAGTATTTTATTTCTCCTTCACTTATGAAGCTTAGTTTGGCTGGATATGAAATTCTGGGTTGAAAATTCTTTTCTTTAAGAATGTTGAATATTGGCCCCCACTCTCTTCTGGCTTGTAGAGTTTCTGCCGAGAAATCAGCTGTTAGTCTGGTGGGCTTCCCTTTGTGGGTAACCCAACCTTTCTCTCTGGCTGCCCTTTACATTTTTTCCTTCATTTCAACTTTGGTGAATCTGACAATGATGTGTCTTGGAGTTGCTCTTCTCGAGAAGTATCTTTGTGGCATTCTCTGTATTTCCTGAATTTGAATGTTGGCCTGCCTTGCTAGATTGGGGAAGTTCTTCTGTATAATATCCTGCAGAGTGTTTTCCAACTTGGTTCCATTCTCCCTGTCACTTTCAGGTACACCAATCAGACATAGTCCCATATTTCTTGGAGGTTTTGTTCGTTTCTTTTTATTCTTTTTTCTCTAAGCTTCTCTTTTTGCTTCATTTCATTCATTTCATCTTCCATCACCGATACCCTTTCTTCCAGTTGATCAAATTGGCTACTGAAGCTTGTGCATTCATCACATAGTTCTCCTGCCTTGGTTTTCAGCTCCATCAGGTCCTTTAAGGACCTCTCTGCACTGGTTATTCTAGTTAGCCTTTCGTCTAATTTTTTTTCAAGGTTTTTAACTTCTTTGCCATGTTTTCGAACTTCCTCCTTTAGCTCAGAGTAGTTTGATCATCTGAAGTCTTCTTCTCTCAACTTGTCAAAATCATTCTCCGTCCAGCTTTGTTCCATTGCTGGTGAGGAGCTGCGTTCCTTTGGAGGAGGAGAGGTGCTCTGATTTTTAGAGTTTTCAGATTTCCAGCTGTTTTTTCCCCAACTTTGTGGTTGGTCTTTGATGATGGGGTTTTGGTGTGGATGTCCTTTCTGTTTGTTAGTTTTCCTTCTAACAGTGAGGACCCTCAGCTGCAGGTGTGTTGGAGTTTGCTGGAGGTCCACTCCAGACCCTGTTTGCCTGGGTAACAGCAGCGGAGGCTGCAGAACAGTGGATACTGGTGAGCAGCAAATGTTGCTGTCTTGGGGCAGTCTTAAACATAAAATTCCAGTCTCTCTACTGTTCTGTAGACCGGGGCAGTCTTTAACATAAAATTCCAGTCTCTCCACTGTTCTGTAGACCAGGGCTATCCACTGTTTTGCTCTCAGTGCCGTCAACAGGACAAAGAATATCTGAGTATTATTAGATGCTTTCCCATGCCTATGTTTAAGCTGATGATTTGTTGCAAAGTGTTACATACTACTGTGCTATAGAAGAAAGAAGATGATCAGCAGTTAGATATATGACAAAATGTGAAAGAATTTTGTTTTTAAAAATGCTTGTAGGCTCAGTACACTTAACTGGTGGGTATTGTCTGATTAGTGAGGGCTGCAACTTACAGAATCATGGATTTTTAAAGTTGGAACAGCTTTTAGGAGTTATCAAGTGTATTGCAGCAACCAGTGGTGGAATATTCTACAATAGCCACGTTGACTGGTCACTTGGTTTCTTCTTAGATATTAATGGTACCAGGGAGCTATCTGCGGCCCTGGGAAGTCTATAGTATTATCAGACGGTTCTTTCTTGAATCAACCTGAAATCCACCTCCCTGCAAATCCAAGCTATTGTTTCCAACTTTAAGCAGCAAAGAAAGAGTTAACAGAGAACCAGAAAATCACTTTACAATACTGTTGTGAAGGGAATTATCAAAAGACAGGGATTTGACTAAATGACTTCCTGTTTTTAGAAATCTGGGCTTTTAGAGTTCTTGATTTGCTGTTTCAGATCTTGATGTGTGTAATTACCTCAGTAGATAAGGCCCCAACTAGCAATCAGGAATCACTCTAAGCTTTTTAAAAAGAGAACATTAAACAGAAAGGATTGGTTACTGAAGGGGATGGAAGATTTAGGAAGCCAAAAGGAATGTTGAAGCAACTGGAACATTGTCAAGGCAGGAAGGCTGGGGGGAGCCAAAGGGGCAGCATGAACAGAGCTCAAGAACGAGAGCCATCCAGGAGCCGCTAGACCCTCAGGAGAAGGTCCAGAAATGGCACTCTGTGCAACCAGATCTTGCCTGGGCCTCTTCACTGTCAGCTGTGTCCATCAGCTGTGAACATCCCAAGCTAGTCATTAGTTAAGTACCCACCATTGATCCAATGTCCTCTCCCTTCAGTCTTCATTCAATGCACAGAATATTCCTAGTTACTCACAGATGGAATTTATGGACTGATAGTTGTTCCTGCTGAAACCAACTGAAAAGGGCTCTGGACAATTTCAGAATCAAAAACTAAGAATTTATGATCTGTTGCATGACTGGAGGAAGCATCTATCCTAGGTTTGTGGGTAGGAGCACCATGGACACCTGGAAAGGCTAATGGACACAGCTGACTGTGAAGAGGCCCAGGCGAGGCCTGGTTGTACATAGAGCCATTTCTGGACCTTCTCCTGAAGGTCTAGCAGCTCCTGGATGGCCCTCGTTCTTGAGCTCTTCTCATGACCCTGCCTGGCTCCCTGCAGCCTTCCTGCCTTGTTGATGTTCCAGTTGCTTCAACATTCCTTTTGGTCCATCCCCTTCAGTAACCAATCCTCTCTATTTAATGTTCTCTTTTCAAAATGCTTAGAGTGATTCCTGATTTCTGGTTGGGGCCTCACCTACTGAGATAATTACACACTTGAAGATCTGAAATAGCAAATCAAGAATTCTAAGAGCCTAGATTTCTAAAAATTTAGTTCCATCCACACTGACTTCCTCTCGAGGCTCTTCTCTCTGTGAGAATTTCTTCTGAAGAGCTGTGTGCAGTGGATGCTATGGAGTGATTTGGGACTGAGCCTCCCATTCCCAGCAGCTGGGAGGTGTTTCCTTGACCACTCTGAGCAAAATCCCTCCCTGGGAATTGGGGGTGGCTGAAGGGAGCTGCTTTACACAAACTTCTCTTCCCCGGCCAGGGGCAGCCTGGACCCAATGACCACTCAGCACAGGGTGCCGAGGCCTCAAAGCTGGAAAGTCTCTGAAGGGCTGTGGCAGCTCCAGAGCATCCCAGCAGCTGAGGCCCCCACTGCAAGAGCATGACAATCTGATCTGTCTCTCTGTGGGGTCTGGATTTCCTCACTCCCTGCCAGGTATCCCTGCAAGGGAATTGCCCCATAACCCTCCTGCCCCAGGAATCCATCTCAGCCTCCATTGCTGGGGAACCAGATCTCGGAAGGTCTTTGAAGCAGGGACCTTTGTCCCTGATGGAGCTCGAGGGCAGAGGAGTCAGCATAGAGGTGGTGGGACCTTGACACAGAAGTGGCTATCACACCCAGCGAAGGGCGCACACAACGGGGAAGGGTGCACACACTCGGCCAGATGCTGCAGCCCAGGCCCAGCGCGGCTCAGAGGCCCAGCCTGCAACTGACTTGACCTGGGCCTGGGTGTCACTTGTTTTGGTCAAGATTTCCCCCACTGCAACTGGAGACCCAAATCCCTCAGGGTTATTAGGCTTTGTGGGGATCAAATAAGCAGACATAATTTAAAACAAAATATAAAATTACTACACAAATAGTCACTGAGTCACTGTTATTAGTTGTAGAATTCACCCTAGTTTGAATTGGCACCTCTGTGCTGTCACAGCTCCCTTTGCCTGGAATTCTCTTCCCCAGATTTTGAATGATGGCCTCCTCCCAGAATTCAGGTTTATCTTAGATGTCCCTCCTTAAAACCTCTTCCCTCACCCCCTTAACTAAAGCTGACATACCCACATTTATTTTTCATGTTATGAGCAGGTTTTATTTTTCTTGGTATTTATACCTTTCCAAAATTATTTGTGCGACAAATCCATAGCAAGAGCTGGAGTTGCACACCCTGCCACTCAGCTCTTTTATTTTCCCCCTTGATTCTCCCTGCAAACCTCCTCTGTGGGGCGACCCTGCCCCTGCCCCTTGGTGAAATTCTTTTTTTTTTTTTTTTTTTTTTGAGACAGAGTCTCACTCTTTCGCCCAGGCTGGAGTGCAGTGGCACGATCTCGGCTCACTGCAAGCTCTGCCTCCCGGGTTCACGCCATTCTCCTGCCTCAGCCTCCCGAGTAGCTGGGACTACAGGCGCCTGCCACCGCGCCCAGCTAATTTTTTGTGTTTTTAGTAGAGACGGGGTTTCACCGTGTTAGCCAGGATAGTCTTGATCTCCTGACCTCGTGATCTGCCCTCCTCGGCCTCCCAAAGTGCTGGGATTACAGGCGTGAGCCACCGTGCCTGGCTGCCCCTCGGTGAAATGCTAAGCAGTCCCCAGTGCTTCTGCCCTCCAGTTTCTCAGGCAGGAGTGCCTCATCAGTCTAGCAAGTCCCCCACACCCCAGGATCATCTCATCCATGCTCCTCTCCCTGGGCTTGGCATTCTCTCAACCGTATCCAACTCTCAGTTTTCCCAACACTGATTCTTTCATATCTCCACAGGGTGGGGGCTATGGGTTGAAAATAAATATTCTTTTTCGCAGTGTTCACTGGAGAATGAGGGAGTGTTTGGCAGGAAGCCTTGGTTCCTCAGCCTTTTAGGAGCATCTCACTGTAAACCAAGTCAGGGTTTTATGTTAATACATTTATGTAGAATGTCTTTCCCTTCCAGTATATAAACATCAAGATGGCAAGGATATGCTTTTTTGCCCGAAGGTTGCCTGATGTATATAGCAGGCGTTCGTTCAGTAAATATTTGTAGAATGAATGAATTTTATTTCCAGTGTCTAGGATTTTAGACGAACGTATGAAACTAACTCTAGTCCTGTGCTTATGTCAATCTTCATAATAGCAAACATCAGAGAATAGTTATTGCATGCAGCAGTCCTCTGGAGACAGAAGCTTAGGATATCATAAGCCATGGGATTTGGCTTTTAGATTTAATTAGGATTGCAGGATCATGAGTAATTAAAGAAATCAAGACTCTTAAAAATGTTTTATGCTTTCGCTTACAAGGATGGGCATTTTATTTAAGTATGTAATACTGTAGGGAAGGAGATGAACATTTTCTTGCTCTTCACAAACTGTGCCTTCCATTAGGATTGAGATTGTCCTGCATTAAATTTATTAACTAATGTATAATTAACGTCAGGTCAGGTCGCCCAAGAATTGCAAACTAATGAGGTATTACGGTTTTTGTTTATTTGTTTATTTTGAGATGGGGTTTCACTCTGTCGCCCAGGCTGGAGTGCAGTGATGTGATCTCGGCTCACTGCAGCCTCCACCTCCCAGGTGCAAGCGATTCTCCCACCTCAGCCTCCCAAGTAGCTGGGATTACAGGGATGCACCACCACCCCTGGCTAATTTTTACAATTTTTTTTTTTTAGTAGAGACGGGGTTTTACCACGTTGTCCAGGCTGGTCTCGAACTCCTGAACTGCCTTGGCCTCCCAAGTGCTGGGATTACAGGCATGAGCCACTGCACCCAGCCCGAGGTATTAAGTCTTTTAACCCGATATATTACAGGTTCCTTATAACTTATGATATAGTGAGTGCCACATACTGGTCAATATGGTAGAAGAGTGTATTTTATTTGGATTGAAACAGATGCAATATGGAAAAAGGCCACAATAAGTGCTCAGTAAATATTGGCTAACATGCCCATCACAGTGGCACCTGTCTGTAGCCCCAGCTGCTTGGGAGGCTAAGGTGGGAAGATCCCTTGATCCCAGGAGGCCAGTCTAGGCAATGTTGCGAAACCCTGTCTCTAATAAATTTTTAAGTGGGCTGTTGTTATTATTATTTTGAAGCACAGCATTATTAATTTGAATGTCAGAGTGAGCTAGACTTAGAAATCTTATTCTCATTTGTGTGACTATAGCCAGTCTTTACTATAGGATCTTACTAGTGCTTTCTAAATATTAGTAAAGAAATATGAAATTTGCAAGGTTTTTTTGGTGTACTACTCCAAGATACAGCTGGTGTGTCCAATTTTTAGTTACATAGTACTTAGATTAATTGATTGGTCATTAAAGAGCTGATAGCCCTCTCTACTAAGTTCATAAAATTATTTACATGAATTTATTAATTTAATTTTCACAACACACGTTTAAGGGAGCTGTTACTATGATCAATAATCCTCATGTCACAGACAAAGACTGAGTTTCATGTGGGTTCATAGCAAGCTGCAGGACACCCAGGTGCTGCATGGGTGAGCCACACTCAGCCACTGTGTTGTTCTGACTCATGCCCTTGACGACAGAGCTAACGCTCCTGCAAATTTGCAAAGAAAGAAGGAAACCTAGTCACTTAATAAATACTTGTTGGCTGATACATCACCAGGCTCTGGGAACAAGGGTCTGGAGAGATAATGTGAGTATGCTTAAGGGAGATATTTTAATATGCATTGGTGCAGATAGATCATCACATACCTGTATGTTACATAGATAATATATCATATTAAGTGTGACCAATTATTTCTTTCACCAAATATTAATTGAAGGATTGTTCTTCCCAAAAGACTATATTTGGATTTGTAGAGGATAAAAAAGGTGGAGAAAAACACTGCTCTTAATTAAAGTCACCTCTCAAACATATTAGATTTTATATATCTTATTGAGTGGTAACTCTTTCAATGTAGCAATCTTAGAAAGCCACCTCCTTACTCCAGTGATGCTTTTATTTCTCTAAACTGATTAAATTAGACTTGTCAAATTTAAAAAAAGACTAGTATAAAACAAAGGGTTCAAAGGTGACTCCTTATCATGAATGTGGAGGCTTGAGGTTTATTTGAATGAGAACAGCTGGGCGAATACACGTGGAGTAACTATGTAGTTTTCCATGATGAATGTATGTGATCTCACATGTTATGAAATGAGATACCCAGGTGAGAAGGCAGCATCCTGAGGAAGTGTTAACTCACTGGATTCATCCTAGAATCCTGACTGTAAAAGTCAAGCAGTATCCATTTGGGACAGCCCAGAGACTCAGAGATTAATCTGGAGAGGTTCTTTATCTGAAGCACTGAATTTTATGTCACATTTCTGTGTGCCAGGTACTATTCTAAGTACCCTCTATACACTAACTCATTGTATTAGAGAATAGAAAAACCATTGATTGCAAAAGCAGAACCTCCATTCTGAAATGAAAAAAAAAAATTATGAAGCTAACTGGAATAAAAATCACTTAAACTAAGAATACCACATAAGGAGGCACTGAAATTAAAGCTCTTTTCTCCTATTGAAAAATTGAAACTGCCTCAGTGAGACCTGGTACATTTTGGTCAGTCTACTTCCTGCTTTTCTTTCGTGGCTTCACTTCACCAAGCCTTTCCAGTTGTCCACAGAGGTCCTACCCACAAAGCTGGCATAGATGCTTCCTCCAGTCATGCACCAGGTCATAAATTCTTAGTTTTTGATTCTGAAATTGTCCAAAGTCCAGAGCCCTTTTCAGTTGGTTTCAACAAGAACTACAGAAACATCCTTCCATTTACTCACAATAATTGATCGTTCTGATATTATCAGTAAAGTGGCCGCAGTCTGAGATAGGGGACACGCATCCAGCTACAGTGTGACATTTACTCTCTGCTGGAAATTGTTTCTGTTTGCTTATTTAGTCCTGCCAACAAGCTATCTTTGTGAATATGTGCTCTTGCAGGCTGGAGTAGATGGACAGGTCATATCTACTTCTTTCTTGGGAGAATCAGTTATTTATTGGGGGCTAGTTGAGAAGAAATGTGCTCCAAATCACAAGACTACACTTCCTGGGCAACACTAGCCGTTGTCCTACAGCCAGACTATTTTAGAAGAATCATCATCTAATCAGTTCGTATATGAAATGTTTATGTTACACCCACACCCACACCCACACCCACACACACACACACACACACACATCCTAAGTGATGGTTGCTGTCTAAGGTGTGTTAATTATTTCTAAGAACAAAGTTGTCGTCTTATCCAAGAACTCATCCTCAGTCTGAGAGCCTTTGTTCTGAATGCAGTCTGAGATTGGACAACATTGTAATAGATGAGGACAAAACCCCACAGTGGCAGATGAAAGGGAAGGACTTCTGGTGCCTGTGTGGGTTTCTCTGAAGTCTCTTCCATTGGGTTGTGATGGCTAGCTCTCCTGGAGTAACCAGAAGACAGATAATGACCCCAGTGTTTTGCTGAGGCCCATAAAATGGCCACGGGAATAATAACAGAACTGCACACTGCCAACCCTTTCAGGCCTTGCCCCCAAAATATTTTTTCAATATGTGCTTTTGTGGAGAAGATTTTTCTCCTCCTTGTTTTGAAAGGGGTAGGTTTCTGAAATATCATTTGAGTTTTTTTTTTTTTAAACCTGGTAAATTTTGCTTTGTTATCTTGAGCAAAGTAGCAATTCCCCAGATATATTTCCTTGCATTTACACTCAAAATTTATTATTAATTTTATATATATATAGTTTTTTAGGATCTTTTCCAACATTTGGAGAGGCAGAATTAGAAAGGGGTAGGAAGGGAGGGGCTTACTGTGCTTTGGTGACAATTGTAACCAAGTGAAATTTTTAGCAGATCAAGTTAACTTTTGTAACCTGTTGTCAAAGTCCTTAGAAGATAGAAAAACATATTTTATTCTACTCTGCTCTGGACAAGGGTTCTACTTTAAAAGGAAGTTGTGCTAATCCTGTAAGTAATCGTGTGTGTGTGTGTGTGTGTGTGTGTGTGTGTGTAAAATAAACACCAAAAGCACCTTATCCTGAGGCTCTGACCCAGCATACACTTTGCCAGATCACTAATGGCCCCTCAGAAAAGAAAAACGATGCCCCATTTGAAGAGGCAGTGCGATCTGTAACTTGTAAAGACATGTTTAGACATCAAAAAGGAAATAGTAGCAGACATTTAAAGCTGATTGCATCTGGTTTTGGTTAAAAACAGTGCTTATACCATTAGGCTTATTATTATTATTATGTTTTATTATGTCATAATAAAGCAAAACACAGGAAAATATTTAATTGGGTGAATTATTAGGTGTTTTATTATCAATATCAGCTCACCACCAAAAGGAATGCTAAAAAAAATTAGACGCCTGTTTCTTGAATTTTTAAATAAATTAATGCGGGTCTTTTAGGTTATTTTAGTTGTTCTTTTTTGAGATGGTACAGATGTCATATTCCATTGTTGCCTTATATTGGGCATACACTACTCAGTCAGACAGAGGGAGTTTCAGGCAGCCTATAATTCTCAGTTTAGGAAACACTAGGTCATATTATACGACTAAAGAAAGTATTTCAGAAGCCCCAAGCTTTTTGCTTTATTTGGCTACAATAAGTGTTATCTAAAATATGGCTTCACCTTTTGTATTACTCCGTTTTCATGCTGCTGATAAAGACATAGCTGAAACTGGGTAATTTATAAAGAAAAAGAGGTTTAATGGACTCACAGTTCCACGTGGCTGGGGAGGCCTCACAATCATGGTGGGAGGCGAAAGGCATGTCTTACATGGTGGCAGGCAAGACAGAAGGAGAGCCAAGCAAAAGGGGAAATGTCTTATAAAATCATCAGATCTCTTGAGACTTACTACCGTGAGAACAGTATGGGGGAAACCATCCCCATGATTCAGTTACCTTCCACCACGTCCCTCCCACAACATGTGGGAATTATGACAGCTACAATTCAAGATTTGATTTGGGTGGGGATGCAGCCAAACCATATCACCTTTTATTTAAATGCTGCCCTGTTATTACAGTTGAGTTAGTTCACTTGAGTTGGTGTCAGTTTGTTGATCAGCTCTTCAAGTTACCATTCTTTCATTTACTCATTTGACAAACGTTACCTGGTGTCTGCTCTACCAGGCCTTGTACTAGGCAGTTAGGCATACAAAGGTAAAGAAGACAGACCCTTGGTCACCAGAATATTAATCTGGCTCTGCCATCTATTCACTGCATAATCTCCAGCAAGTTACTTGAATTCTCAGATTCCTGCTTCCTCGAATGTTGAGTGCTTGTTACTGATCCTGGAGAGAACACTGAGGGGCTGGCAGTGCTGTTCACAAGAACTCATCAGGCCTGATACGTGCTGAAGAGATGGATAAAGCCCTCAAGAGGAGGAAACCGTAGCTCCTCCTTTGACTTCTTAGGGTTATTTTCCCTTTAAAGGTGTTTACCTGTAGCTGATTTGTTTATGTATTTTTTGAGTCAATTTATTTCAGTTTTTTTGAAGCTGACTTGCTTCAAAGCCTGGACGAGACTAATTTCTGATGGAATAATTTATTAGAGCATCTGAGCTTTACTTCATCTGTAGCTATTTTGCCTAAACAGACCCATTTGAATTTGAGTTGATTCACAGGAAATAGCCTTTTGAGATGAAAATTTATATTTAACTTTCAAAAAGTGCAGATTATTAATTATAAGAAGAATAAACAGGAAACACAGTATAGCTATATGCCAGGCAACTGTCCCAAGCTTTCTACATAGTAATTCATTTAATGCTTCCATACCCATGAGACAGGTATAGTATTATTTATGTTTTACAGATAAGGAAATTAAGAAACACACAGAGGCTACTGAATAATTCCTGAAACTATCATTTTTAAAAATTGATTCAGTGAGTGAAAGCTTCTAATATAAATAATTCAGTTATCTATATAAGCATTTCCCTCATTCTGCTGTATCTTACTATAAAATTAATAGTGAGGGAAGATAAATGTAGAGATTATGCATGTTGGGCACTTGCCTTCCAACATGTAAGTAGACAATTACTGTGCTTTAAGCTGCCTTTTAGTATTTCCTCAGCATTAAGCAGGGAAGTCAAATAAACACACTGAGAATACTGGTACAAAATATGCATTCATTTCCTTTGGTCACAGAATAAGCATTACTGAGTGTCTGAAATGGGCCAGGCAGTCCGCTTGGCCCCAGAGCCATGAGTAACCGTAAGACAGGTCTTTTCAATCTTGTGGGTCACCATTTTGTCCTTTCTTCTTTCCCTCTTCCCTTTCTCCATTTTTTAAAAAGTTAATTTTGCCTAGATTTATTTTCTGCATTTTTGCTTGCCAGTATTTTGTGCCCTTAAGGGGTATTGGGGAAAGTCACTAATAGTCTCCTCGGGCAGTCAGGAGCAGGGGCTTTCAGGCTTGAAGAGGTGTCACATGCTGTTGGTGGCAGTGGCTGCCGCTGTGCTCTTGACTGTCTACACCCAGCAGGTGTCACTGGGTGGGTTGGCCTGGAACCACTTTCAGAGCTGCAGACCATGCAGGAGGAAGGCCTGGAGTACCTGAGCATGCGTGTGTGCAGGATTGCATGTGGATTTCACGTCCTCAAGATGCCTGTTTTTCCTCTTTCCTGGCAACCTGGCCAGCCATTAACTCTTACAGGTCCCTTTGCACTTAGGTGCAAAGGAATGTCACCCTCAAACATCAATGTCATCATCATTATATTCGCATTCCCTGGGGTCTAATAGCATCTGCGGAATGAAAACTGCTCTTTTAAGATGCAGGGACACCTGTCAAAGCCATACTCTTAGTTGTTGTGGAGAAAGGCCCTAACTCCCAGTGTGGTGGCTGCTGTAGTGCTCTCCCCAGATTCCCCCCGTGCCCTCCTCCTTAGGACCAAGACTTCGATTCTCCCTATTGCCTGGAGTGTTGGTGTCTGAAAGCTCATGGCTGTGTCTGTTCTGGGAACTGTTTTCTGCTAAAAGGATCTGCCTTATCCAAGCTTTGCCTCCTCTTTGTTGTGGATGTGGCTCTCATTTCCAAGAGTGGAATTTGGGGGATGGGGAGGGAGGAGAGGAGTCCCTGTCCCCTTGCCCCTTGCCCTGTTCTTGGACAATTCCCCCGGGCCGTCTTGTGGGATAGGCAGGAGCCTTTGCTGCACTGCGCGGCTCCCTCGCTCCTACTCCATTCCAACCTTGCTCCCCACCCCCATCCCACTGCTATTCCTGAATGCTCACCCAGTGAATCATCCACTTGCCAGTCACCACCACTGTGTCTGTATCCACAACCTTAGCTGACCATCCAACAGCTCGGACAAGTTTGCGTCCATTCTCTGAGAGCAAGGGCAGCAGTGGTGGGAGGTACCATGCAGTAAGGAGGACCCCAGGGAGGCACGTGCAGAAAACGGGGCTCCTGAGTGTACCTGGACAGGCCATGCCCTGCACATGCCCCCATGGAAAGGATGAGTGAAGACGGAAATCTGGTCCTTGTTTTGCTACCAAAACCTAATACTGTAGTTCTGAATTGCATAAACTAGAATATTAAGGAGTCCCATGAGTGGGCTAGCAGTGGCCTTGCAGGAAAAAGTAAGAGAGAGCGTATCAAAGACAAGTTTTGGAGCAATACACAATTTCCTGAAGATGAGCCCTGGCTCCCCACAGATGCCCCTGTACATTTCCTCTTCCACCTTCCTCAGCCCTCTTGTATGGCTTCTCTATAGCCTGGCTGCCGGAGCACTGCACAGTAGATTGTATCTGTCAAGTCCTGGCCTGCCTTGGCCTCCTTGGCATGACCATTCCGTGCAGAACTAAATGGTCGACATAATTCCTAACTGCTTTATCCTGTATTGAGAGTTAGAAAGAGGCCAGGCCCTCAGGAGAACAAGAGATGGAGGGAGCCCAGAAAGTGGCTCATAGAGAGGCAAGACCTGAGCGAGCACCCAGCGGAGCCACGGCGCAAAGGAGCACCTGCCAGGTAGCTGTGTGGACGCGTGCACTCTCTCACTTCCACAATTACTTGTTAGCTGACTGTGTAGTAGGTGAGGATTGATTACTTATTTATCACCAGTTAGCTGACTGTGCAGTAGGTGAGGATTGATTACTTATTTATCCCCCGGCTCATTCAACAGCCAGGTTATTAGAAGGCCATGATCAAGGATACAGGCTGTGCTGACCACATTTTCATAAAAGTGAGAGTTCAGCCAACACTTGTCCCATAGGAGTGAGCTGAGAGCAGTGAGAAGGTGCTGATTGGGCTGCATCTGTCTTTGAATAGCAGTAACTGATTCTATCATTCAACCATATGTTGCTCATCAAATATTCAGCAGCTAGAGCTTTCACAAAGGCTTTTTGAAGGCCCACGCACATGCAGCAGGGAATAAGGAGACAAGTTTCTGAAAGCTGGGATGGGCTGGGCTTTGTGTTTGGAAATGGGGGACCAGCCAGTTGATTGGGGGAGGAGGTTAGGGGACAGTTGCCTGGGGAATTTTTAAATACTTGTGATCCAGAGTTTTGCTGATTTTTGACCTTCTGTGGAACACCCTAACAGAATCTGAATGAGCAAGTCCTGTACATTTATTCATGCGACAACCTATCGCATAAAGATAGCACAACAGTGAGTGGTGGGACTAGATAGAGTGTGGGTTGAGTGATTCATACAACGGCAAGCAAAACCAGACGTAGCCCCTCTCAGCCAGAAATGGACTGTCTAGTTGGTGATCCTAAAGGGTAAGTTGAATTGTATAGAATACATTCTAAAGCCTAAATATAGTTAATCCTCATTATTTACAGATTCTGTATGTGTGAATTCACATTCCTGCTAAAATGTATCTGTAATCCCAGATCAATACTGAAAATGCTTTCAGGGTCATTCTTGGGCATGCACAGACTGCAAAAAATTTGAGTTCCCCAAAGCCCATGTTCCCAGCTGAGCTGGCACAAAGTGACACTCTGCTCTCTTCCTTTACTTCTCATACCATAAACAAGTGTCCGTTCATCTATTTGATGCCACATTTTTTATATTTCGTGTGTGATTTCACGGTTTAAAATGGCACCCATGCATGGTGCTGAAGTGCTGTCTAGGGTTCCCAAGCACCGGAAGGCTGTGATGTGTCTCACGGAGAAAATACATGTGTTACATTGGCTTTGTTCAGGCTTGAATAATTTTGCTGTTGGCCATAAGTTCAATGTTAATGAAACAATAATGTATATCAAATAGGTTTTCTCTTTTTTTTTTTTTTTTTTTTTTTTTTGAGACGGAGTCTCACTCTGTCGCCCAGGCTGGAGTGCAGTGGCGCGATCTCAAAGCAAGCTCTGCCTCCCGGGTTCACGCCATTCTACTTGCTGCCTCAGCCTCCCAGGTAGCTGAGACTACAGTCGCCTGCCACCATGCCCGGCTAATTTGTTTTGCATTTTTAGTAGAGACGGGGTTTCACTGTGGTAGCCAGGATGGTCTCAATCTCCTGACCTCGTGATCCGCCCACTTTGGCCTCCCAAAGTGCTGAGATTACAGGCATGAGCCACCGTGCCTGGCCCCAGTAAGTTTTCTTTTAAAAAAAATTTTTAGAAATGAGGTCTTAGTGTGTTGCCTGGTCTGGTGTTGAACTCCTGGGCTCAAGCAGTCCTCCCACCTTGGCCTCCCAAAGTGCTGGGATTACAAGCATGAGCCACTGCACCCAGCCAATACATTTTCTTTAAAACAGAAACACTCATAACACAAGATTATGTATTGATCTGTGGACAAAAATGTAACCAGAGGCTCACAGGAACCTAACCTTGTATTTCCCCTAAGAACAATGGTTCAGTGTTCGCTAATTCTATCTTCATAGCAATGCTATAGACATAACAACCATGAATAACAAGAATCAACTGTATAGATTTCACAGTAGAATGTGAGGGTTAGGTTTGTAGTGACACAGAGGCTTGAAAAAGGAAAGTACGACCATCATACTTTTTGCAACACATTTCTTTAAGGTGGTTATGTATTCCTATCTTTGAAAATAGTGTGGCCTAGGAAAGCCTCTATAAAATGGCTACAGCTTCCTCTTTAGTGAAGTATTCTCTGTATTTGATTCACAATTAGTGGTAACTTTTCTGAAATGTTTTTTAGAAGGCCTGGAACTTTAAACTTAAGACTCAGTCTGCATCTCAAAGTGCCGTACTGTGTTAGTTGAGTGTTATCCTTACAGGTGCAAAGAAGCGGGTGTGAAAGAAACTTGTACTTGTGTTTTATTTTCAATGCTTAAGTTATTATTAATAATATTTGTTTCCACATTTTGAAAAGACTTTATTTGTTATAATACAACAATTTCCTGAGGTAGTATTATTTAAATATATATTTTATGTATAATATATATTATATTAGTGTGTGTGTGTATATATATATATAGTATATTAGTATACACAAACACAAAGAAAATTTTCCTCAAAATTTTTTTATCTCAATTTTGGATTCTAAAGTATCCTACTTTATTAAAATGCATGAAAGGAATAATAGCATAAATCTTGGGAAATGTCAGTACTAACATACTGATAAGATCATTTTTACTTACAATGGTATTCTTTTTAAAAATACCAGCCAGACACGGTGGCTCAACCTGTAATCCCTGCACTTTTGGAGGCCAAGGCAGGTGGATCACCTGAGGTCAGGAGTTCATGACCAGCCGGGCAAACATGACGAAACCCCCTGTCTCTACTAAAAATACAAAAAAATCAGCCAGGCATGATGGCACGTGCCTATGGTCTCAGCTACTCAGGAGGCTGAGGCAGAAGAATTGCTTGAACCCGGGAGGCGGAGGTTGCAATGAGCCTGGGCAACAGAGCAAGACTCGGTCTCAAGAAAAAAAAAAATCAGTAAGCTCTCTGTGTATTTTGGGAAGTATATGTGTTTAGGGATAATATGGATACTTTTTTCCAGTAGATTTCATGATTCTTTTCTTACTCTCAGTTCTTGTTATACTGATAGATTTGTTGTCTCTCTCTTGCTCTCTCAACCTCTCTCTCTCCTACAGAGAAAAAATCTCCAAAATTAACATAAAAATTACTACAGTCTACACACACCTGTTATTACATGTGTTTGTGTTGTAGTTATGATTGCCAGATAAATTGTTTGAATTTCAGACATACAACAAGTAATTTTTAGCATACTAATACGTGGGACATTTATACCAAAATATTGAATTATTCATTTGTATTTGAAGTTGAAATTTAAATGTATGTGCTGTATTTTATTGTCTAATCTGGTAACCCTAATAATCATACATATATGTTCTGTGAGTGTGTGTGTGTGTGTGTGTGTGTGTGTGCGTTTAAAGGGAGGAGATATTTCCTCTTTTTTCAAATCACCATTTGCTTGGCTCAGTTTGGGCTCCATAAGATAAGCATTTGTAGACTCCAGTCTTCAATTTAATGCAAAAGTTGATCTACTCTACCAAGTGTTCATTTATACAGACATCATACGTTAACAACAAAACATACTAGAAATTTGATCAGGCTGGGATTATGGTTAGCCAATTAGACTTGTATCTGGAGTACCCCTCCTTTCTATGGCCAAACAATTTTTTTGGATAATATATTTTTGTCTTTAGAACCAAATTACTGATAAAACCAATAATTATCCTCAGATTCTTCTTTGAAGAAGTATTTTCTGTATCTCATTTAACCATAAATTTAATTCAACTTGGAAGGTTGATTAGCATCCCTGAATTATTTTATTAGCTTGAGTTACATACTGACATTTTACAATCTACTTAATGTGCTATGGATTTTATTTCTGGCATTTCTTTTCCTGCCCCCCAAAGGTGTATGACATCTGAGCAAATCTGAGACCAAGCATGCCCATCTGGTGACAATGACGATTGCCTTTCTAATGGGTAGCCTCCTCTCAGGCACTGAGATGCAGTAGCATGTAGGATGGAAAGAGTCCACATCTGTGGACAGGTCACCCTGTTCTCTAACCTCAGCTTTCCACCCTGCCTCCCACCACAGCGAGTCTAGCTCAGACAGCATTATCTCAGGGCATCATTGTTTTGCAGACAAGAAACCGACACTGGTCACTGGTGATGTTTATTCATTCACTGTTTTGATTGATGAAGTAGTCAAACTTCCTCTTCCCACACTAGCTATCTAAAATGTGGCCACACAAGGGTCAGAGAGGACTGTGTGTATGAAGTGCACATGGCCATCCCCAGCCTGCAGGCCTGCGTGGGTGGGGTGGGATCTGACCCTGTGTGACTGAGCTGTGACAGCTGCTCCTGGCTCCTCATAGCAGCCCTCCTCCTGAGACTGTGGGGACGAGGGCTAGATCTCAGATCCAGGGTCTGTCCTCTGAGAAGTCATCTTTACAGGCGGATTTCTTAGTGTTTTTCATTGGCAGAGGCAGGCTTTTCCTTGTGTGACCTCAATGAAAGTATATTTGATCATCCTTAGAGGAGATGACTAGAAGGTACTCCATATTGTCTCTCCCCAGAACACTGCTGAGAGGCAGCATTTTTACCAGAGAGATGATTTGGCCTTCAGCAAGTAATCTGAAATAGAAATGATGGATAGAAGACGCTAGCCAACCAGGAGCTCAGAGAAGATGGTCATCTAGACAGAGATACCTGGGGCATGGCAGTCATGGAGAAGAGTCACTGTCACTCTTTCTGCTCAGTCCTAGAGATAGTTTTCAATGCCACTGCATTTTGCCCTAAGTGGTAATATAGATACTGAATGAATGGATGTTACTCTGCTGGAGATTTCAATAAAGAGGTAGTAAGTAGGTTCCTTGTTGGGTTTTACTCAATTTTCCAAATTTGTATAGCATTTACATTCATTTACATTTTTATAAGTTGTCGTTAAGCAGCAATAGTTTGTATTTTTTTTACATTAAGAAGAACCATACAAATTGACATCGTAGAAAAATGATGAAAAAATGTAGTGTAAACACAAAAGACCACAGATGTGGAGAGATAATATGGTAAAATAAACAATGAGTAACATCATGATGTCCTTCAGTTCCAGCTATTTAGTATAAAAACCCACTGACCTTTACAAACAATGAAAGTGACTGTGTGGAGTACAGGATGGATTCTATAGGGCTGTTTTTGCTTTGAAATCATGCCTTTGTCTATTCATGAACTCGAGGCTGAACTTCCAAGGCCACTCTTTCCTCCAATCTGCACAGACTTTCACAGCTTCTGAGCTCGGTGTTTAATTTCTCTTTCTCTTTATCCTTAGGGCTCTTGATTAAATTTGGGAACTTGTGAATTATGTAGTCCCATCTACTTAGCAGCTGGAGGGCAGCTTCTCTGAACTTTGAATTTTGCATATTTTGCAGATATTAATACATGACTGTTTAGGGTTCCCTGGCAGATTATTCCAAAAACTTTTGGGCAGTGATGAGAACAGTTTAATTTGAAGACAAACCATTTCATAGTTCGGGTTTTAGAATTCGTCTTTTCTCCCACCTGCCTTGGACTGTCCGTTTTCAGAGGATGCCCTAACTTTCCAGGTTGTGTGCCTGGTCTCACCCAGAGAAAGGGTTCTGCTTCCACCAGAGGGAGCTGTTTTGTAGAAAACAGTTCAATGTGGCATTTCAAGGACTTTCGGACCATTCCCACTCACCCCATTTAATTGGCCTCATTCCTAATTTTTCTAGAAAAATTAAAATAATTTTAACTGATCTTTTATTTTAAGTGTTATTTGAGGTTTGAATTGTGAAAAAGTAAGAATGTTTTTCAGAAAGGAGACTAATGGAATCCAACTTCATGAAAATCAAATTTATTGGGAAGAAAAGTGGCACTAAGAACTGACTTAATGTGAAACCAAAATACACTTTTTTCGCCCACATTGAGGATAATTATGGGGACGAGGACCAAAAGATAGGAGGAATGATTTCAGAAAGAGACGTCTCTACTCTGGGTACAAATGCACCTAATATGCAGGTACATAGATCATATTAGAATATGTATTTTCTATATGAATGATACAATCCTGAAAATTACGTAACATTCACATTCCCAGCCAAGTACTTCTGTGCTATTGTTCAAAAACAGCAACAAAACATCCCCTTATGTAGCTAATTTAATTATACCACAGAATTGCTTTACTTATCAATAGTGAAGATGACAGTTAAAACCCTGATTATGTTCTGATCAATTTAGTCATTACCTCCTCAACCTTTATTGGATATTTTCTTAGTTAGGACTTAAGATATAAAGAAAAATAAATAAAATAATGTCTCTAAACTCAAGGAGTTCAAAATTTAATTCTGAGGTTATATTTAGAAACAGTGCTAAAGGAGTAAGCGTAAGGTGTCAATAATAATAATAGAAGAAATAGCTAAAATGTATTGTTCTAAAAGGGAAGAGAATGGACTTCTTCTGGACTTGTTGAAGAGCAACTACTGAAAATTCTGATTTTGGTTTGACATAGCTGATATGAAGCCTTTTTTTTTTTTCAGATGGTATTTAGCCAACAAGAACTCTATGATTTTTGAGGCTTTTCCTGAAAAGTTAAAGCAGGTTCATGTCATCTGTAGAGGTGTATATTTGACTTTCTGGACTACAGTTTATCCAAGGCTGTTCCAACTTGTATAGCTCTCATTTAAAAAGCAGAGTCTGTGTGTCTATACGGGGTGGGGAGGGTTGGAGAGGTTAATGCAGTTGTATTTCCTTTTCGTAAGAATGCATCAGGAAGCTAAATCCTTGAAGGGATCTTAAAATATCAAGTATTTTAGCTTATTTTGCTAGTTTTTAATTCTGAGAGTGGTGATGAAAAGGGGAAGAAATTTTGTGTGTGTGTGTGTGTGTGTGTGTGTGCCTATTTAAAATAGATTCAACTTAAGAAGTGAAGTTATATAGGTTAATAGGATGACATATATAATCATCCAATCAACCAATAAAGATATAGGATAATATATGTCATCCCATTGACCTATATAACCTCACTTCTTAAGTTGGATCTATTACATGTGGATCATATATATATGTTAGTTATATGACACATATAGTTATATATATGTCAGTTAGAGGAGAGTGAGAAAGGAGTATTCAGGATATTTGCTTGAATGTTTGACAGGAGAGCACCACTGTTCTGTGACGTAAAACCAGAAAATGGAGCATAATAAAAACATTCGCCAAAGCAGGCTAGTTTAAGAAGAAATCTGTTCAAACGATGTCTCTAATATCTTGGAGCCTGCAATAGCTTTTTTCCGCCCTTTCTGCCTATAGAATGTTCCATTTGTCTGTTTTTCCCCTTTCTGCCTACAGAATGTTCCATTTGTCTGCAAAATTAAAGTCAATGCATGTGTGTTATCTTCTGCAAAGAGTGTGCTGCTGTCACCCAATCGCTTGTTGAGCCCAGCATTGCGGGAGGGATTTTATGCATGCAGACCATGCTAATGAATTTCTATGTATTACTTTAAGCTATAGAGGTTGTATTCGTTCTGTTCTTTCCTTTCCCTTCCTTTCTGTTCCCTTTTGTTTTATTTTCAGCCTGGGATCTTACAGACTGCCTGAGCTTGGTTGTTAAGACTAATTTTGTGAATTAGACACATATCCTAAACAATATCTTTTGCCCAGTTATTTTGCGTAAGGATATATCAAACACCTATCCACCTATGTCTAGTCAAAGCTACAGTGGTTTCAAAATCATGATTCTTACTGTCTTCTTTTTTATCTTAAAGAGGTTGGAAACATTGGAAAATTCAAGCATAGCCCTTTATAGATTTTTTAAGTTTCATATGTTATCTAATTTGTGTCTCACCGTTATACCTATAGGTTGTATAGAGCTAATTTTATTTGTATGTATGCATGTATTATACATTTAATCAATGCAGAAATTGAAATGTTGAGAAGATACATAATTTACCCAAGAACACTTATTAAGCAAGTGGTAGGGCCAGTAGAGGAAGCCACGTTTCTGGGCTCTGATGGAATGCTCTTTCCTGACTACATGCTGCTCCTCAGCTGCACTGTGGGGTGTTCACAGGTCATAGATACATTCAGTCTTCATCCAGGGGTTTGCAGGAGGAGTACTGCCTCCCATATCTCAATGGGTGTTGGAAAATGATGAATGAGCACAAGAAACTGCATTGTACCTAAAACTTTTGGAATGGGTGGAGATTCTTAAATAAGGGCCTCCGGCTTACACTTGGCATGGGAATGGTTACCTTTTAATTTCCTGTCATTGAGTAAGTTTGAGTTAAAAATTAAGGAAGGAAAATACAACTTAGAAATAATATTGCTCAGCTAAGCAGTTTAAAGATTTGTGGCTTTTTCTTGCAAGCAATTTACATTATCCAAGCAGAATATGATGAATTATATGTGAACGGGTGGTATGATTTTTATGGCTGTGTTACTGTATAGTGGTTCTGGTGACTAGGACCTAGAGAAAATGAGAAAGGTTATAAAGACTGTAATTTTACTAGAGTTCTCTTAAAGTGTGCAGAGTATCTTTTACAATGTTTTGAGCCAATGAAAAACAAGTGTGACTTCCTCCTTCTTATCTTACATCTCACCTACTGTTGTTTAACTCAGAAGTCCAGGTGGACATAAATGCATACAAGTGTGTGGCAATGGGGTATTCAGGTTCTTACTCAGAGTCTTATTTGGTCCAGAAGTGTTTTTGATATGGAGACAAACTTGGAAAGGAAAATTCGTTTGCAGAAATTATTTAAGTGCCTAACAAACCTATATGGATGGAAACATTAAGAAAACTTTGCATATTATAGCCCCTGTTACTTTGACATAGAATCATAATTCTGGAAGAAATCCACAAAGGTCAGCAGGCTTTTCTTTGTTTTTCTTCAGTTAGGCACCAAGTCAAACAGACTGCCGGAGTCACAGGCCTGTCATTTCATATGTGTTTAACAGCAAAGTGGTCTTCTGGAAAGAGGGCTGGAAACAGGGAGAGTGCTTTCAGAAATGGCAGAGTAGGTTAGCTTCTTTTATGAAGTTCCCTCTCATTCCAATCCATAATAATCTCTCTCTTCTGAACCCCTATAGGACATAAAGTCCATATTTCACAATTTAGGACTTACAATCTACTCTAATTGCTCAGAATTTTAAAAAATAAGTGTGAATTGTGTTGAACTGAATTGTATTTTTCTTCCAATTTATTTCATAGAACATAGAATTGGAGCTCAATAATTATTTTTTAGTTTAGCTTGTTTGCAAACTGACCAATACATTAACAATAAACGTTTTCATTTCTGTTTCTTCTCTCCTCTTACGTGGCATACAATTTCTAGGATACATCTTTTAAGTTGGGATAATACACTGTTGGGGTAAACATATAACTTTCTCTGTAATAAGTGTTGCAAAACGAATTCCATACTGTACTTTTCTGTTTTATAAGCTAGAGGCGAAGGATGCTTTAAAAAGTTCTGACTGGCCGACATGGTGAAACCCCGTCTCTACTACAAAAATACAAAAATTAGCCAGGTGCAGTGGTGGGTGTCTGTAATCCCAGCTACTCAGGAGGCTGAGCCAGGAGACTCACTTGAACCCAGAGGTGGAGGTTGCAGTGAGCCGAGATCGTGCCATTGCACTCCAACCTGGGCGACAGAGTCTCGCTCTGTCACACACACACATGCAAACACACGCACACAAATAAGAAAAAAAAATTCTGACTGCAAGTATGAAGTGCCTGGGTCCACGTGGAGTTTATATCTATTGCAATATAATTACGGGATTTTAACACATCACTCTCAATCACAGGACATAACAACTGTCAGTGTGTGACCTGGTTTGGCATGCAGATACTTACCCATGAGGAGAATAATTCAGTATCAAGGAGATATCAAAGTAATTCAATTTTATTATGATTTTAATGATACTTTCTCCAAATTTATCGCATAACACAAACTCAGTAGAGCCATATCGGTTACATTGGTGAAACCAGTTTTAATTATTCAGTGCCTGCAAAAGTCTGTCAGAGTTTATATAAAATAAAATATGTATATATTTTATATTAAATATAAATATTTGATTTCTTTATTTATATCTTATTTTATTCCACAGAATGTAAGGTTGCTTACAAAAATATATGCAGCATAACACAGAGCACAGCATACGAATAAAGATATATCCAGGGATAAAATTAATACCCAAAGTCTTGCAGCTTTACCGGGGGAGGTGGGGTTGCCAGAAATTCCAAGTGTTTTAGCAGCCAAGTCAAAGAGGGAAATAGTTATGTACAGAATTCAGAGTCCCTAAGATGAAAAACATTAGGTTTTTCAGCAGTGTAGCAATTCTTAACGTTATGGCTTGGAATCAATTCTGCTTATTCATTCCCAGGAAGAGGACACAGTGAGATGCTGTGAAACCACATTCTTATAACCTCTTCAGCAAGTAAAATAACCAAAGCTATTTTCCTGCTTACCTTAGGCATAAGATACAATTTAGGAACTCCAAGGGAACAAAGGGCTTCATTTGCTTTAGGCCAAGGGGTTCTCAGTACTGCAGGCACATTAGAATCTCCTATGAACTGTGACCTGGGCCTCTAATTAGGTCAGATTCTCTGGATGAGGGACAGAGGCCTTGCTTGTATTGACAGATCCCAGGTGACTCCAAGGTGTGCCCCAACTGAGCACCTGTGCTTCAAGCATGTTCCAGGTGTGGACTTCTTGCTAACAAGCAAACATAGGAAGTGGCAGAGATTTGGAGTTCATTCCTCTGACAAGTATTTGGAGTACAGATATTATTTGCTGTTCATTAGGGGAGACACCCATGGGCTTTAAGAGTCAGAGTTTCATATTATTTTAGGAGTTGGCTTATTTACAAATATGTGCTGCACCTGTTTAGCTCATCTTCCCAGAGGTAGTTTTGTGGAATAATAATTTCATCATCATAATCACACTTTCCAACCCTCTGTGTCCATTCTTCAGGGATAAGAGTGACTTCCTATGCATATTAGAGGTCTCTGCTGTTTTTTCTATTTCCTGATAATTAGCCTGCAGATCCTCTTTGTGTGGTAGCTGCCAAGTAAATTGCATGTGTCCCCTGCTGGCAAGAGGAGTTGTGTTAGCCCATTTTGCATTGCTCTAAAGGAATATCTGAGGCTGGGAGATATGTAAAGGAAACAGGTTTATTTAACTCATGGTCCTGCAGGCTGTGCAAGCACGGCACTGGCGTTCTTCTGGTCAAGACCTCAGGAAGCTTTTACTCATTGTGGAAGGCAAGGAGGGGGCAAGCCTGTTGCATGGTGAGAGAGGGAATGAGAGAGAGAGAAAGAGAGAGAGAGAGAGAGAGGGAGAGAGAGAGAAGGTGCCAGGCTTTTTAAACAACCAGCTCTCCGTGAACTAACAGAGCAAGAACTCTCTCATTACTGCTGGGACCAAACACCTCCCACCAGGCCCCATGTCCAATATTGGGGATCACATTTCAACAAGAAATTGGAGAGAGGACAGTATCCAAACCATCTCAGGAGTCAGAAGCAGCCCTCAGCTCCATCCCCTTCTACACACTCTGTAATAAATTGATTTCGAAAGTGAATGAGCTTGCCATGCATTTGGGAACTGGGGTTGCTTCTGCTTTGCTCTGCAGGCTGAGAAGACCTTGAGTTACCTTCTGACTCATTCCTAACGTTGGTGGAAAAGGAACCTGTCTGGCAGTCAGGAAGTTGGGATCTGGTGAACACATGATACACAATTTTAAAACGATTATGAGTGCTGGATACTTGATTCTGGGAGAGGTTTTTGTTTGTTTGTTTGTTTTTGTTTGAGACGGAGTCTCGCTCTGTTGCCCAGGCTGGAGTGCAATGGCGCGGTCTTGGCTCACTGCAACCTCCACCTCCCAGGTTGAAGCGATTCTCCTGCCTCAGTCTCCCGAGTAGCTGGGACTACAGCCACAGCACCCAGCCTCTGGGAGAGTTTTTTACGCACACAAAACCCTACGTGTTTGTTTTAGTTCCACTAATAGGTAGTGGTAGGAGGATAAGACTAAGTGAAGACAAGACTAAGAAATGTTACATTTAGCCAGGCGCGTGGCTCACGCCTGTAATCCCAGCACTTTGGGAGGCCGAGGCGGGCAGATCACGAGGTCAGGAGATCGAGACCATCCTGGCTAACACGGCGAAACCCCATCTCTACTAAAAATACAAAAAAATTAGCCTGGCGTGGTGGCGGGCGCCTGTAGTCCCAGCTACTCAGGAGGCTAAGGCAGAATGGCGTGAACCTGGGAGGCGGAGCTTGCAGTGAGCCGAGATCGCACCATTGCACTCCAGCCTGGGCGACAGAGCTAGACGCCGCCAAAAAGAAAAAAAAAAGAAAAGAAAAGAAATGATACATTTAATCAGTAAATAGACTTCCCTCCTTCTCACCCATTTTTTAATAGAGAAAATAACGTTGCTTCTGTTTCAGTCAGAATGGAGTAAATTAAAACTTCTGACTGAACTATTTTGGAGAGAGGAGCAGCACAATAAGAATTTATTGAAGAAGTGTACAAAGACAGGTACGACGAGCACTAGCGTCCCTTGGGAATTCGCACACACAGCATTGGGTGAGAAGAGGCCACTAACGAAGTCCAGCCAGAGCTTTTGGACTTTTAAAGACTGTCGAATTTTTTTTTAAATCTGAGGGTTTTTTTCCCCTTCAGTTTCAAATCAGCACAACATTAGCTCGTATAAGTTTTTCAGGTATTAAAGTTATAAACCAACCCGGTAAAGTCTGAAGATAATATTTTTGGTGGAAAGTTAGGAAAAAACGTGACTGTCAGCTTTGCACATTCTTAGCAGTCCGTGATTATGCACTCCATTATGTTGAGCATCCCAAGCTTGTTCGGTCGGATACCAATTTTAAATCAAATTTTGACTTCCTCCGAGAGCGACTGTTTTGAGAGCAATATTTATACTCTTGGTATGACTGGTTCACATGACAGAAAGTGCTTCATTTCTGGCATGTGCTATATATGTCTGACTCGTTATATGGTTTATGTTTTCAGACTAGCTTTTTTCAGTGAAATGCAGTATTTTGACATTCAGCATCAGAGAAGTTTTCCAGGAGTCAAACATGTGTCATGGAATGCGTTCCTTAAGTGTGTCTTGGAGGCAATTCTGTAAAAAACATGGCAAAATGTCACTTTCTCTAAATCAACATTATGCTAACTTTGACATTAATCACAGTCTAAATACAAATCCATGACAGATAGAATGTTCACACAAATCCAGGGGCGTGTCTGCCTTAGGTGGGCAGGAGAAACCTGCACCAGTGAGATCTTGCACTCTGGCTGGAGTCCTGCCCTAAGTCCTGGTGGTCTAGTGTCTACAGCCAGGAATGATGTTAGAGTCAGATCCTGCCTTCTCCATAGGCCAGCCTTAGGGCTTTAGGTAAGTCACTTTGCCTCTCAGTCTTAGTCCCCTCATGTGTGAAATGAAGGAGAGAACAGTGCCCACATGTGTGTTGTAGAGAGGACTCAATGACGTAATGTGTTGGGCTCACGGTAAATGCTCAAAAGGTGCTGTCTATTATTGTTTCTCTCCTCTTGTCCGTATATGACCAGTCAGAAAAGGATTATCTGGGTGCCACCAGACCCTGGAACTCTGTCTCTGTACGCTTGCCCTGGAAGAGAGGGAGGCAGAAGCCAACCTCACTCATTTCTCATCTACCTTGACTGTGAGTCCAGTGCTATCCATGGCTAGAAGGGCCTCAGCAATGTTCTCCTCTCTGTCTTCTGAGCTACTCAGATACTCCATTCATTAGGCCTGTTACATGCTTAGGGTGGGCTACTTAAACAGGCGAGGTCCAAAAGAGTTCTTATCGATCTGACTTCAAAAGCTTTTAAGGGCAGTTGTTGGGAAACATGTCCTTTGTCTAGAAAACTCTACATCTGTATGTGTGCACATATTCACACACACACATGCATAGAGAGATTTCTGCTACTGTGAACAGTAACATTTTAAAACTGAAATGCATTTGCCTTATTGCTCAGAACATACTGCCTTTTTGAAAGGCACAAACCTATCCTTTGTATTTCAAAATCTCCAGAGGTATTTGTTGTGTTTGCCCCTGTGCTCTTATGACCAGGGTAGTCAGAATTCCCACCCGTCATCCATAGCCAGCCAGACTGGCTAACACATTTACACTTACTCGAGAGCATGCCAAGAATAGCTCCGTATTCTAATAGAGCAAGAGCTGAAATTCAGTAAATCGTTATTCCCAGGTGAAGTAAGGATATAATGGAGAGATGCCATTACCTTCTGTCTGCAGACACGGAAATGAATGTCCAGGAGTGGTGTAAATGTCACTTACTCCTTTGCAGAAATCTCTGACCCAGTTAAGATACCACTAAGTTGCATTTGTTCCAAATGTTGTCCTCTGTCCTGTGGACCACACTGGAGACCCGAGAATCAATGTTGAGACATAAGGCTCTCTGCTGCTGTGTTCATTTGGGTTTTGCATTTTTGCCATTCAGCAGAATTTCACTTCATAGTTTGTTACTCAATTCAAATAGCATGATTGGGGCCATGTAGCACACGCTTTGGTACATGGCAGGTCCTGAAAAATGGTAGCTCTTGTCATCATTACTTTATTGCCATCGTCATTGGAATCAGCAGTAAATATCTGTGTGTATGCGTATGTGTGTGAGAGAGAGACAGAGAGAAACAGAGAAAGACAGAGAGAGAACGAGTTTTGTCTCGTATCTTGGAAATGTGATGGTGAGAATAAAGGGTTGGGCTAATATTCAGCAGCCAAATGGATTATAAAATATTAAAATACACCCAATAGATTAATAAATAGCCATTGCCCTGAGCTTGCCAACACCTCATGCCCCATACCTTAATGTCCCAGTTCTCAACTTTTGCCCCAGGGACCATGGAATCAACTTACAACCAAGGGTAAGTCGTACCAAGAGCAACCAAGGGTTATATCTGGCTCCTCTGGAAGCCTCCGGAATGCTGCCCTGGAATGCTAGCATTAGTTATGAGTAGCTGGTGTCTATGTTAGACTCGTGGTTAAATATATTGAATATTACCCCTGGGTAATTATAAAAATGTTTTAAAAGCATAATTTGAATATCATCTCTGTGAAGAATATTAAAATATCAAATAGTATAAGTTCCAGTGTTATAAAATTCAGCTATTTTGAAGAAATAACTAAACCAAAATGAAAACACTCTAGTAGTGTTCACTAATTTTTTTTTCTGGTATAAAATGTAAGAATTAAGAGTGGAGTATACTTTCAAAAGTAATGACGTAGGAAATGTGTTTTCTGGGGAGACAACTGTAAGGTTATGAAAGGTCCTGATGGGCTTATTAAAAAAAAATTCCAGGCCAGGCGCAGTGGCTCACGCCTGTAATCCCAGCACTTTGGGAGGCTGAGGTGGGTGGATCACGAGGTCAGGAGATTGAGACCATCCTGGCTAACACGGTGAAATCCCATCTCCACTAAAAAAAAAAAAAATACAAAAAAATTAGCCAGGCATGGTGGCAGGCGCCTGTAGTCCCAGAAACTCGAGAGGCTGAGGCAGGAGAATGGTGTGAACCCGGGAGGCGGCGTTTGCAATGAGCCAAGATCACGCCACTGCACTCCAGCCTGGGCAACAGAGCAAGACTCCGTCTCAACAACAACAACAACAAAATTCCAGAAGCAACTTCATTGCATTGAAGTGGACTACTCGAGATTGCTTTGCAAATCTTGCTAATCTAATCATATAAATACATTTTGCAGAGACTAGTGCTAAACCTGAGTCAATAAAAATAGGATTATTAAGTGAAATGCTTTTTGTCTAGATGCTTGTTTTTATAGATAAACTTTGCTTTTTGTCTAGGTGCTTGTTTTTATAGATGCACTTTGCCGTCTCAATGAGTGAGTTCTTTTGGATGCTCCTGGCCCTGGACTACGTCTTGCCAGGAATCTTAAGAGTGGGCAGCACCGTCCCCTATGGAGGCCTGGGGTCCTTGTCATATATCTCGAGGGACCAGCGTTTCTAACTCTTCGCTGGAGCACGAGCCAAGCTGACATTGTTTTGGCTTTCAGAAATGAGGACAGAGTAAAACTTGACAGCAACATCATGGTGAATAAATGCCAGAGCTTTCTAATCACTCCTTCCCGTAACCACTACAAGGTTGTCTGACCTTGGGCAAGTCACTCCTTTGGGCCTCAGTTTTCTCATCACTAAGTGATGGGGGTGGGCTTAGGGAGTACTAGGGACCCTTACAGATAACTAATGAAACATGGTCTCCAAACTTTGGTTTTATAGAGAATAATAAAAAGCAATACTCTCTTTTCTTGATTATCAGATATTCCACACCTTCACTTTGGCATTTTTTAAATTACAAAACATCTTATAATTGAGGAATAAATTTCACTATAGTTGTCATTTTCATCACACCTGTGAATGTGACCATAAGTAGCGAGTGTTTATTCAAACACTTGACACCTTAGTTGTGTTTATTACCATTAGTAGCACTATAAGGGGTTGGCTTTGTGGCTGGAATGAGGATGGTAGCTTGTCTTTTAAAATTCTTTAGAAAGATCATAGTATGAGAAGCATTAAAATTAAAAGATGTATATGCAGAGTACTGCCTTCTTATATTACTTAAAGGGAGTAAAAGTTACCTAATTTTTCAGAAGAGATAAAAAATATTTCCAACCTGATGAAGGTTGTTCAGATCAAATCATAGAGCTTGCAGTTCAGTGGGGAACGCAGAAGATAAAAAAGGAACATGGCCATGGTGGAATTACTGGTTGGGTTAGCTGCTGTGAAGACAATTAAGGGGGCTGTATAGGGAACAAGTGGTGGAAGGGTCCACCTTCTAGGGGGTCAACAAGACCTGTCTGAAAAGGGAAGAGCAGCCACATGAAGAAGTCAGAGGCAGGGAGGGAGAGGGGTCCTCAAGGCAGAGAGGATGGTAAGTGCAAAGGCCCTGAGACACAAAAAACGTTGGCCTGGGGAGGAATGAAGGAAGAAAGAACTACCCCAGCAGACAGAGGCTGAGAAGCACTGAAGTTGTAAATAGTGAAAGGGTTTAGCCTTTACTCTAAGTAGAGTGGAGAACCATTAAGAGACTTTAAGTAGGAGAATAGAATGGCCTAATTTGCTTGTTTGAAAGATCCATCTGAGCCTGAGTAGCAGGAGGGAGCCGCCTAAGGGGTCTGCAGAAGTGGGTTGGAGCTAGTATCAGCATAGAGATACAGAGATAGAGAAAAGGGCACACTTCAAACATCTAATTTGGTGAAAAACCCAACAAAACTTACGGATGAATTTGATATGGAATGTGGTAGGGAGGCACTGGGAGAAATTAAGGAAAAGTCTTTTATTTCAAGTTTTAGCAGCAGGACAGTGGTGGTGACATTTGTTGAAATGGGGAGCCGGGTCTGGAGCAAGGGTGACGGAGGAAAAATCAGAGCTGCTTTTTGGACAGGTTGTGTTTGCGTTGGCAGGGAACCTGGCAAGTGGGAATGTCATGTGAGTACAATTCAGATACATTCTTAAATTGAATATGGAGAAGGCCTACACTAAATTTTAACTGTGATTGTGAAAAGTTAATGTAATTCCCAATTAATTTTTTGCTATTACGAGTTAACAAAATGTTTACAGCGAACATGATGTTCCCCTCAATTTCTATTTAAATAACTGACGGTGCAGCTTAAAACTGGTGTTGTTTAGATGCAAGGTAAAATGTTCCATGCCATCTTATCTAAATTTTTTTTCAACTCTGTTTCCTATGACACCAAATGTATTCTTTGGCACAGGGCAATTGATGAATATTTGCTGAAGAAGTGAGTCAATAGGTATTATATAGAGTACCAAGCACAAGAAAGACTAATCCTGATGAGCTGCACAGCACCATGGCCAACGCTGGCTGGCCATGTATTATTCAGACCTGATCAGATTCTCACTTTCTTCTCCTTCCAGAATATGTGAGGATCTATCTAAGGAAACATATATCCCTAATACTGCACAGTTTTACTGTCCTCAACTCCACTTAGTCACACATTGTTATGGGGGTGTTCAGATAAAGCTGAAGGACAGTGTCAATGACCATATAAGATGGCCACGTATAGACTGGGTGCGGTAGCTCACACCTGTAATCCCAGCACTTTGGGAGTCCAAGGCTGGCGGATCATCTGAGGTCAGGAGTTCGGGACCAGCCTGGCCAGCATGGTGAAACCCTGTCTCTACTAAAAATACAAAAATTACCCAGGTGTGGATGTGCGTGCCTGTACTTCCAGCTACTCAGGAGGCTGAGGCAAGATAATTGCTTGAACCTGGGAGGCAGAGGTTGCAATGAGCCGAGATCACGCCATTGCACTCCAGCATGGGCAACAAAGTGACTCTGTCTCAAAAAATAAAAAAAAATAATAAAAAATAAAGAAGAAGAAGAAGAAAAGAAAAGAAAAGAAAGAAGGCGATGTACAGAAAAGCCTAGCTTCCTTACTTGCATTTGGTACTGGAAGAAGAATCCAAGTTACAGTTTGTAGAACTTGCAGCTCGTGGTGCCACACCATGTAAATCAGAAAGTGAGAACTGAGATCTAGCAACAGAAGCAGCTACTGCTTGTCCCTCTGTGACGGTGCTTGGACTAGCCACAGGGACACTTGGCAGGTTACCCTGCACTAATCATAATAGCAGGTCTTCCTGTTCTGTGAGATCATTCTCAGAAACAGTGTTTGAAGAATTTATCAAAGAGTACTCTACGAAGGCTCTTCTAGTATATTTAACAATTGTTTCTTTAAGCTTACTTTGCTGTTAAAAGCAAAACAACATGAAACTCTCAAATGGAAAAACCACTTACCAAGTCATAAGCTGAAATTTCAGTATTGAACTGAAACGCTAAATGATAGATCAAGATCACTATGAATCCTGGAGTTAGAGTGAATGGCTATTTTCAGTTAATGCTAATGATTTTTACATTTATTTGTACAACATAATTGTGAAAGACAACCCCAAATGGAACTTAAACCCCACCGAACTCCCATTTGTTCATCAACCCAGTTACCTAAGACAGTTATTTAAATTAAATTTTCTACAGTTAAAACCAAACAGAAGCATACAGATGAATTGTGAAGTTAAAGATTATTCCAGATGACTTTTAGGTATAACTCTCATGCAAAACCTATATCATCTTGAAAATTAAATTTTAAATGATTATATCTCCTGCTTCATTGTCAATTTGATTGCTTTCTTTTTAACCTCTTGTACCTTATTCCTAGCGCACCTCAGCGTGCCCCCTTTGCTCTGACCAGGCAATTCCTGCCTTGCCTCACTGGTGAATTGACAGTCGCAGTCCTTCCTTTATTCACACACAGGTCCAGCAGAGCCCGGTTATACCTTGACTGGAGCTCAGAACTCAGGGGTCACGGCTCATGCTGTTCCTTTTCCACAAATGCTGTTTGCTTTCCTCTCTCCAGGTTCTACCCATATTCTGGGGTCTCTTCAAATTCCATCCCCAAGCCCCTTGAATTCTGGCTCCTACTTTAGTTTGTCCAAATCGCTGTTTGTCATATAAGTGTAGCTATGCACACACTCATTCTTACACAGTTTAGAATTGACTGCTCTGTGACATTTCATATGAATTGGCTTATAAAATACTTTTGGGCAGAGTCTTGTCTCATACACATAAGTGCTGTGCAGAGCTTGGAGACGAGCGCTCCCATTAGTTCAAGTGATGTGATAGATTGCTAATTTGTTTCTTTTTCTCTTTTTCCTGTGTGGTTCAGTCCCACACTCTTGCCTCTTTTTTCCCTCTTCCTGTCTAGGAGCTAAATACACAAAAATGAATGTGATCTGGTCCATGTTCTAATCCACTTATGGGTTAATTGGGTGACAGATCTGTTAACCGATAATGCATGATAAAAGTGATACAGTTTTGAAGAGGGTGCTGAGGGAATCAAGTTGAGCATTTGGTCCCTTGGGAATTCAGGGTAAGGCTGAATAAGCCTCACAGAGGGCAGTGGAGGGAGCATTCAGGCTGAGGGAGCAGCCCAGCAAGGCTGTGCAATGCTTTAGTATATGTATCTCTTTCCATACGGAGCATAGGCCAATAACAGCAAGAGCACAGTGCATCGGCATCAGCACCTGGTGCTTCGTTTTCTTTTATTGCTTCCTAGAAAGTGTAAGACAAGGAGTTACAGGTGGTGGAGACGTGGATGAGAAGAGGGTGTAGGTGGTGCTGAGGAGCCACTCCGGGAACGGGGAAGTCACAGAAGGGACCAGTCAGGGTGCAGACGGCTAACTTTGTGTCTGTGGATGAGATTGAGGCAGGGTGGGGGCGAGGCAGAGAGGCCAGCAGAGTTTCTACCCTGGCTCACTTTGTACTTGTTCGGTTATGGAGCTGACTCTATGCGACTACAATTTCAATATATTAATAAAAATAGAAATAATGTGTGAAACATGTGAAGACAAGCACCCAGAACCACTCCAAACTACCTACCTCTTCTTTTCTTTGCTGACCATGACTATTGACAGCGGTCTCTGGTGCAACTCAATTGCATGTTTGTAAAGGCGCCGTTCAGCCTGCCCTGGCAAACCGGCAAAGCAATGCGTGCTCCTGATCTGAACTACCAGTTCAGGGATGATCTTCGCTTCCTACTTGTGATGGTGCTGAGCAGCTCTGAAAAGGGGACTTCAGAAGGGACTCCTGAGGATCAGGAGGCTGAGTCTGAGGATTAGGTGATTCCTGGGGCTTGCTGCTGCTGCCCCCAGCGGAACCCAGATCTTATAGTCTGGAGTTAAGCTGAACTCCCTCTTCCACACCTACTGACTCAGCAAGAGTTGTGCAGTACCCACCTCAGGGCAAGCAAGTTCTTCCCCAGCCACTCAACCAGGAGAGAAAATGATGAGGGGTGCTCTCATTTTCTGAACAATTGTCACCATGGGCTCTGAGTAACTTCGAGGATGGGGCCTCTTCCCCTATCTGTGTCCTGAGGGCGTTACTCATTGTACTGAACATTCAGGAAATGTCTGTGTCAAAAACAGAGAGAATCTTTTCATTCCAGAAAGGCACAAAGCACATCCGTCCTGAGACACAGAGGAGCTGGGTTTCCTGAGTTCTCTTGCCAGGAGAAGATCGCCAGGATAATGGAATGGGATCGCTAGTGCACCGGGCCCTTTGAAGCCCAGGGCGCCATTCAAAGTATGCTCTGCACTAACTGGGAAGACCATTTGGAGTCAGGAAGCTGGAATTCTGGCCCAGTCCCCACCAGGAACTTGCTTTGCATCCCTAGGCAATTCACGGAAACACTAAGCATTTCCCATCAAACAAAAAATATGGTTATCTGCCCCGTTTACCTATCACCAGATTTGTGAGGATCAAAAATAACAAGAAACATATATGAATGACTCACTTTGTAAAAGACACTGTTTCCAGAGGGTTATATATTTTAATTGTAACCCCAAATGAAGTGGCTATTGTTATTTTCATCTCCATTTCCCGGATGAGGAAGCAGGGCAGAGTGTGTTGAGGCTCATCACTCTGAAGTAAAGGGGCTCAGAGATGAATGTAAGCAGTTTGGCTTGAGAGCCTACATTCCTAATCAGTGCACTCCACCCCTCAAGAGAGAGGACGCTTATAGAAATGCTTCCGTGTAAAATGCGCTTCCATCTCATGCAGGCTATGTACTACATTCAACTTGGGAGGCCAAAATCACATGTTATAAATATTATTTAAAAAAAAAAAAAACCTTCGCTGGGCACGGTGGCTCATGCCTGTATTTCCAGCACTTTGGGAGGCCACGGGGGGCAGATCACCTAAGATCAGGAGTTCGAGACCCCCCTGGTCAACATGGTGAAACCCCATCTCTACTAAAAATATAAAAATTAGCCAGGTATGGTGGCGGGTGCCTATAATCCCAGCTACTCAGGAGGCTGAGACGAGAATCACTTGAATCCAGGAGACGAAGGTTGCAGTGAGCTGAGATTGCACCATTGCACTCCAGCCTGGGTGACAAGAGTGAAACTCCGTCTCAAAAAAACGAAACAAAACAAAACCTTAAATAGACCTTATATCTTTTTATCTTCCCTTCCCCTCTCCCTTTCTTTCCTTTTTACTTTCTTTTTTCTTTTTTTTTTTTTTTTCTGAGACAGAGTCTCGCTCTGTCGCCCAGGCTGGAGTGCAGTGGCGCGATCTCGGCTCACTGCAAGCTCCGCCTCCCGGGTTCACACCATTCTCCTGCCTCAGCCTCCTGAGTAGCTGGGACTACAGGCGCCCGCCACTACGCCCGGCTAATTTTTTGTATTTTTTAGTAGAGGTGGGGTTTCACTATCTTACCCAGGATGGTCTCGATCTCCTGACCTTGTGATCTGCTCGCCTCGGCCTCCCAGAGTGCTGGGATTACAGGCGTGAACCACCGCGCCCGGCCTACTTGATTTTTTTTTCAGCCAAGTACAGATATTTCTGTAATCAAACAGTACTTTGCACTATCGTAGTGAGAGGTGACAGTGTGCACCCTCGCTCGCTTTCGGTGCCTCTGCGGCCTTGGCGCCCACTCAGGCCGCGCTTGAGGAGCCCTTCAGCTCACCGCTGCACTGTGGGAGCCCCTTTCTGGGCTGGCCAAGGCCGGAGCCAGCTCCCTCAGCTTGCGGGGAGGTGTGGAGGGAGAGGCGCAGGCGGGAACTGGGGCTGCGCGTGGGGCTTGCGGGCCAGCTGGAGTTACGGGTGGGCGTGGGCTCGGCGGCCCCGCACTCAGAACGGCCGGCCAGTCCTGCCGGCCCCGGGCAATGAGGGGCTTAGCACCCGGGCCAGCGGCTGCGGAGGCTGTACTGGGTCCCCCAGCAGTGCCGGCCCACCGGCGCTGCGCTCGAATTCTCGCCGGGCCTTAGCTGCCTCCCAGCGGGGCAGGGTTCGGGACCTGCAGCCCACCATGCCTGAGCCTCCCCCAACTCCGTGGGCTCCTGTGCGGCCCTAGCCTCCCGGACGAGCGCCGCCCCCTGCTCCACAGTGCCCGAACAGGGACCACCCAAGGGCTGAGGAGTGTGGGCACACGGCACGGGACTGGCAGGCAGCTCCACCTGCCGCCCCGGTGCGGGATCCACTGGGTGAAGCCAGCTGGGCTCCTGACTCTGGTGGGGACTTGGAGAACCTTTATGTCTAGCTAAGGGATTGTAAATACACCAATCGGCACTCCATATCTAGCTCAAGGTTTGTAAACACACCAATCAGCACGCTGTGTCTAGCTCAGGGTTTGTGAATGCACCAATCCACACTCTGTATCTAGCTACTCTGGTGGGGACTTGGAGAACCTTTGTGTGGACCCTCTGTATCTAGCTAATCTAGTGGGTAGGTGGAGAACCTTTGTGTCTAGCTCAGGGATTGTAAATGCACCAATCAGCACCCTGTCAAAACAGACCACTCGGCTCTCTGTAAAATGGAGCAATCAGCAGGTTGTGGGTGGGGCCAGATAAGAGAATAAAAGCAGGCTGCCCGAGCCAGCAGTGGCAACTGGGTCGGGTCCCCTTCCACAGTGTGGAAGCTTTGTTCTTTCACTCTTTGCAGTAAATCTTGCTGCTGCTCAGTCTTTGGGTCCACACTGACTTTATGAGCTGTAACACTCACGGCGAAGGGTCTGCAGCTTCACTCCTGAAGCCAACGAGACCACGAACCCACTGGGAGGAATGAACAACTCCAGACTCCCCGCCTTAAGAACTGTAACACTCGCTGCGAAGGTGCGCAGCTTCACTCCTGAGCCAGCGAGACCACGAACCCACCAGAAGGAAGAAACTCTGAACACATCCGAACATCAGAAGGAACAAACTCCGGACACACCGCCTTTAAGAACTGTAACACTCACCTCGAGGGTCCGCGACTTCATTCTCGAAGTCAGTGAGACCAAGAACCCACCAATTCTGGACAAAATAGCCTAGAGTTCTATGCACATGTAAGGTCATAGTATTTTATAGTTTTTACGAACTGAATTCTGTCCCCCTTAAATTCATATGTTGACATCCCACAATGTGACTGTATTTGGAGACAGGGCCTTTAAAGAGGTGATTAAGGTTACCTGAAGCCATAAGCATAGAGCCCTAATCCAGTAGCACTGGGGTCCTGTAAGAGGAGGAAGACACCAAGGATGTGTGCACCCAGAGGAGAGCCCATCTGCCAGCCAAGGAGAGAGGCCCCAGGAGAAACCAATCCTGCCAGCACCTTGATCGTGGGCTTCTAGCCTTTACAACTGAGACAATCAGTGTCTGTTTCTGAAGCCTCCCAGTCTGCAGTGCTTTGCTACCATGCCCCCAGCAGGCTGATAACTGGGTGCATGCTTCCTGCACTGCCTTGATCTTATATTGATTTTGCTCCAAGTGTAAATTATTTTGAGTTCACTTTTTTTTTCTCAGAACAAGAACTAAGCAATTTCCTTACAGGCTCTGCTACTGTCATACCCACTCCAAAGGTCAGGCCTGCACAGTTAGGGGGGCTGTGACACTGCACCTGGATGTGCATGAGAAGGTGCAGCCTCTAGGGACCATGGCATGCCGGCTGAGGCATTGGCAGCATCTATCCACTATACCCCTACCTCTCGTAGTCCTTATTTTAGGCAGCGCCCGTTTGTTTGAGTGAGAGTAGGCAGAGATCGATTACAAAGTGTTTCAGGTCTGGCAGCTGTAGGAGATTACAGACACAGATGTATGCCTGGGGTTTGTTCTTGAGAGACCCCCCTGCAAATCCCCTTCACACGTGGTGACTCTGCAAGGGGCACAGGGATTTAGGAACAACTAGGAAAGGGAAGTCCAAGGGATGCCATTGAGAAAAGGCAGCATCTGGACTCTGCCATCAAGATGGAGAAGAATGGAACTGCAGCAGAGCTGGGCATTTTCCTGGTTTGCATCTGCAGTCCCCCAGCGTCTAGATGATGCCTCACACACACTGCAGGTGCTCAGACTCATACATTGAATAGAATGAACTTGTGAAGGCATGGGTGGGAGGGACGTGGTTTTCTCATTCATTCCATCAGTGCAGTTACAGCACGAGCTGTGTGCTGGATCACCAGATCCGTGAGACTCAAAGTCCCCCAGGAACCCCACTTGGTGGTTTTCATTCACGATGGTGACTGTGTTCCTCCTCACGAATTCACAAGGAGACTAAACGCCATTGGCGGCTGAAGCAGGAGAGTCTGCTCAGAAACTCAACTCAAATTTGCATCCTTACCACCAAGAAAGCATTCATGGAGCCCTTGCAGTGGGGAGGAGGAGAGAAGGAAACATTGTTTCAGACACACGCAGGTTGCATGGAATACAAGAGTGGGATGCTTTTGTAGAAGGAAAAAGAAAATGTTTTCTTCAGAATAGAGGAGACTAGAAAACAGGAAGTAAGAACACCACACTGACTTTGGGTCCATGGAAAACCGGTTTGGGAGTTCTTTCCAGGGAGATTAGCTGTCTCCTTGACACCTGTGACTAGCACTGTTGAGTTAGGTTGTAACTTTGAGCTGGTTGAGATGGTGTGGTTTGGAGAACCGGTGGAGATGACTAGAGTTTCTTTCATGATGTAACGGAAGAGAATCATAGTCCAGGCCTGTGAGGCCCCTGGAGTTTGCATCCGTCTTCCTAGCTCCAGACAAGTCACTTCCTACAGTGACTCCATGAGGGTTAGTGCTTTTCTGCTGAGCAGGAATGTCGACTTAAGGCAGTGGAACAGTTTTTAAGCTGCATCTGCTTTTTGTACCTTTCACTTTCTATATTTCTTTGATTTATGGGGGAGAGGGGTTGTTTACTTCTTGAGTTTTTCAGTTTGGAAGATAATTAAGAAATAACTTTAAGTGAAAGATGAAAGAGCACAGTAGCAGAACAGTAACTTTCTTATAAAACAACGAATGTCAAGTATTCCGAAAGCTCTCTGCCAGGCTTCAGGTTTCAGCAAAGGATTAGCTTAGTGAGACCAGCTAATTGTTTAAAAATAAAGAGCTCACTTTGTGAAATAGAAGGTGTCATTTTGCCTGTCCCTTCCACTTAACTTCTATTTAGTGGTTGGCAAAAGGCTAGTGGCATGTAATTTTCATATTTTCAGAACACTACTCTGCAATTACTGGGGAGTTTAGACAGTAGTTGGCTGCTATGATCTTGTCCACAGCCCCAAGAGCTGTGAGTGTTTATTTTTCTAGAAAAATACATCAGTAAAAGTCCATCAGTGCCAGGTATTGACAGGAAAACAACTAGTCTGCAAATGTGCAAATCAGAAGTACCTAATTTTGCATTTTGCCTTGAACTAATGACAGGAAGTAATTGTACCCCAGGTGCCAATTCAGTATAAGCAAGCAGAAAAGTTATTGCAGGAAGTCATTTTGTGAAGACTGTGGAATCAGCAAGAGCATCAGAGGCTTTGAGCTAGGATAGTGATTCTGAGATGTTAATGGACCCCATCAGACAGACAAGGGCTGAGGTCAAGTATTACAAACTATGGAATTGCATAAAACATAATTAAAAGTCACAATCTCATCTTTTAAAAGTGGTCTCTTCTGTGTTGCCTTTTCTTGCTGAGGAAAGAATTGTGTGACTATTTTTTTAAAAATCGCTCCCCAGATCCCAAACTTTTAAAATTAGAAAATTGAAGCTTAAGTTTCTAATTTAATTCATATACAATTTTTTTAAAGAGAAGATTTATTGGGTCAGAAGAATAGATAAAATCATCCCCAAGAGAGTTCATGCACTCATTACACAAACACTTATTGTACATGTGCTCGGCACAGCCTCCAGTACTGGAGACAGACAAGGTGCTGATATGCCTCTTGTCTCCATGGAGTTATTCTGTAGTGAGAGCTAATAAACAATCAATTCAATAATTTCATTACAGATTGTCATTAGTACTATTAAGAAAACAAACAAGATGATGAGATAGAGTATATCAGTTGCCTTCTGCTTTGTAACACTCAATCACAGTATCTCAGTGGCATACAAAAATCAGCCTTTATTGCTCCCTTGTGTGTTGGGGTAGGGGGGTAAGTGCACTCTGTCCAGCCTGAGGATGACAAGAGCATCAATATAAAACACTGCAACAAGGGGGCCCAGAGTGGGGCCATTCAATAGGTCACAAGAGAAACTAGAAAACTGTCTTCCGTGCAGGAGTCCTGGAAGGCCTTTCTAAGTAGGAGACACTTCAGTGCAAACATAAAGGGGGAAAAACAGCCAGTCATGCTGAGAATTGGAGATGAGTTTACCACACCAGAAAGTACAAAAGCTCCCAGATGAGAGGAAAGAGTTACCTGTTCCAGTGATCCAAAAGGATGCCAGTGTGAATGGTAGGGGATGAACTGATATCCAGGTTGGAAAGGTAGGCAGCCTGGGCCTTGGCAGACACCATAAAGGATTTTATTTTCCAGTCTAGGAGAAGCCCTAAAGCATTTTAAGTAGCGGATTAGGTGACAAGACATATGTCTTTAAAAGATCTCTCTGGTTCCCATATGAAAAGTTCATGATCAGGAAGGAAAAGTAACAGGGAGGACCCTTAGAAGGCTGCTGCCTTCTGTGGTGCAAGGTAGAATTGGGGTAGCCTTGGACCTACGTCAATGGAGACATCAGTGGAAAGTGGAGAAGGGCTGGATTGGATGTAAGTTACATCGTGGAGGTAAGAACCAGCAGGGTTTGCTGGTGGCTTGGATGTGGACTATGAAGGGCACAAAAAATCAAGGCTCCGTCCTGAATTTTGGGGTTGATCTCACACACACACTCACGAAACACCTGTGATGGATTGTGGTGACATTTACTAAAGTGGAGAAAAATAGGTGAAGAAGTGTTTTGGGATAGAATTAAGAGATTCATTTTAGACATGTTGTGGTTGAGATATCTGTTATGGGTAGAATTGTATACCTCAAAAAGATATGTGGGTATGAGTGGACTCACATATCCACTCATCCTTAAAATAAAATGAGATCTCTTCATGGGGTTCCAAAAGGAAGGAGACATCATTTCTGTTCCTTGTCTCAATAATGCATCTTCTGCCTAATCATAGATGTCAGATTAAATGGACAAGACAAAATAGAAATATCTTTATTAGGAGCAAGCTGTCCCACCAGGCATACATGTGTGTTCACAGTAGTGTCACCCACCGTTCAGTGGCTGCTGGCGATTCTTCAGCGGGATTCACAATTTGGCCATAAATGAGACACCACAATTACGTCAAACTCTGATTAATCTTCCTGCCAACAGATCAGGAATCATATGTTAAGTCTGATCCAAGCTCATGTTCTTCCTTTATTTCAACACACACACACACACACACACACACACACACACACACACACACACACACACGACATGTTGGGAGTCCTAACCCCCAGGATCTCAGAATGTGACCTTATTTGGAAATATGGTCTTTGCAGGTGCAATCAAGTTAAGAAAAGGAGTAGTGTGGGCCATTAATTCAATATGCCTGTGTCTTAAGAAGAGAGAACACACACACACACACACACACACCACCACCACCACCACCACCACCACCACCATGCGATGACTGAGGCAGGAACCGGAGTAATGCAGCTGCAAGCAAGGACCACTGTGGATGACCGGCCACTACCCAAAGCTGGAAGGGGCAGGGAACAATTCTACACTAAAGCCTTCTCGGGGAGCAGGGCCCTGCTGACACCTTAATTGCAGACTTTTAGCCACCAGAACAGTGAGGCAATACATTTCTGTTTTTTATTTGTTTGGTTATTATTATTATTATTACTTAATAGAGACAGGGTCTCACTGTGTTGCTCAGGCTGGCCTGGAACTTCTGAGCTCAAGCTGTCCTCCCACCTTAACCTCCCAATGCACTGGGATTAGAAGTCATTTCTGTTGTTTTAAGCCACTCAGTTTGTAGTACATTGTTAGAGCAGCCGTAAGAAACTAATACAATGCCTAAGCACTTAGATCAAGATATGAATCTGAGCTCAAAAGAAGAGGTCTCCATCTGAGGATTAAAATAGTCTATCAATGCGGAGACCCTGAGGAAGAATGTTCCAGGCAGAGGGAAGAGCATGCCTGTTTTTGGCATACGATTTCTTTTATACAGAAGAACCATTCTGCAGTACAACACCCATAAACTCTGAGAAAATAAATGGGTATGAAATTTTATAGCTTGATTTCCATCCCTGGAATGATTGAAATAGATATTACCTGCACATATTATGTTAGAAATTATATTATACATACCCAGTAAAAAAAAAAAAAGCAAAACTGCATCTCAAAAAAAAAAGGCATTCATGCTTTCATAAAGATTGTGTTTATTGTAATGAAATGTTTTATGGTGCAAGTCATTTGTGGTTATTTAGAGTATTAAAAAACCCATGGATTTTCAGAATTGTAAGGGACATTAGAGGTTACGTCTTGAAGAACTCTCTTCTTAATGCTTAAGTTTTCTACATTACCATTAATAAGATATCACTTAATTTCTGCTAAAACACTTCCAGTAATGTAAGAAGCAGTTGGACTTCCAGGGCAACCCATCCATTTGACAATTAGACATTTTTGACCGTAGAGGTCAAAAACACATCTTTGTGACTTCATTAACGTGTCCAAGTTATGTTCTTTGAAAAATCTCAAAGTTAAGTCTCATCCCTCGTCCCTAGAAATTCTTTTAGATGTTTGAATGCATGAACCACGTTCTTATGAGGGTTTTCTCCAGGCTGGTGTACCTGGTTCTTCCACCTGAGACTGTTTCTAACCCTGACCCTTCAATCCTGTGCTCTCCTCTGAACTTCCCTCAGCTTGTCAGTGTCTCTCCCAACTCCATGTTTAAACATCAGCAGGACCAAGTAAATAATGAAATAAACAATTGCAGAAAGCAATTATTAGGGGAGAAGGAAATAACAAAAGGATGGAGTTTTTCCAACAAGAGCATTAAGAAGAAAAATCTAAATAAATATATCAAATCCACATGTATGGGGATGAAAACTGGGAAGGAATTTGCCTCCAGTGAAAAAACATTACATTATTTGATGGAGTTTTTCATCATGAAACATGATTTCTTCAACACCATGTACCTGTTTTGTGCATTTTTGGTTTTGCCTTTTCTAGGATTGTATTCAGAATCCCAGCATTTGTTTTCTTTTTACCTTGAGTTATCACTTGTTTAAATGAGTAACTCGTTACTTACTTTTGATGAACTAATTGCATTTCTCGGGCACACCTCTTTGTTAAGCCGCTTAACCCGACCCCCCTCATACCCACCCTTTGCAGGGGGTTCCTAGGGGTTCACTTTCTCTCTGGGGCCCCTGAAGGGAATTGTCTGGGTTTTGGTTCCTCTGTGTTGTCAGTGCCCTCCAGCCTCCTTTCTGCCTCTGGATGTTGCCTTGTGTCCTTGCTCTGTGCCTGTTTTTTCGCTCTGACCGTCTCTACCGCCACATTCTGTGTCTCTCCTGTGATTCTGCCCACAGTCATCCCATTCTCTTACATACTCTGGCCACTCTTGGCCTGTTTCTTTCCCTGTGGGATGACAGTTTCAAAGAGAGTGAATGTCAAAGGGCTCATTTCCTTCCCTCTTACCCACAGTACTCATTACATTTGCTAAATTGAGGTATTAACAGAGGTTAATAAGAGGTCCTGCTGTTGTTGGTTTGGGTCTACAGGAGCAATGGAGAAGGAGGAAGAATGAGGCTGAAGGAGGCCAGGGTGAAAAGGGAGAACAAGGAAAAGGGGAGAATGTCACCAGGATTGCCCAAGCTATTTCTCACTAACGTGCAGTTGATTTGCAAATTGTGATTGAAACAAAGAAGCCTTACAAAAACGTTTAGAAAGTTTTCATTTTCAAAATAATATTTAAAACATGAAGTTGAACATGTGTGCATGTGAACAGTTTTGATTTAAAGTGTCAGCCTTAAAGGGTTTTTTGTGTGTGTTCGTGTTTATTGTTTTCCATAAGAAATTCGAGTCTACCATAGAGCACTATGCAAATAAACAGATCTTAAGTATAAATACCAGGGCTGCAAGAGTCGTTCCTGTTCTGCAGCTTAGGGTACATAGAAATGTGTCCCTTCCCTCACAGTCAACCAGCCCAGCAAATGCAGCAGGAAAGGGGCCCACCCCTTTAGATTTGACCTTACCTTGGCACTGATTATCAAGGCGTTCTCTTAAAACATGATATTATTGATATATTCTAAAATTTTCAGGTTAAATATTTTATTTAATCTCCATAATTTGTGAACATATTATTTTATAGGGCAAAAAGGACTTTGCAGATGTGAGTAAGTTAATTACCATTAACTTCCATCTTTATTGCCAGAGAATATTCTCTTTTGAGCTCTCCATGAAATCAGGGAGGTTTGGTGAAGCACACAGAGAAGGAAGACAGAAGGAAGAGCCAGCCAGGGTGGCATGCCCCATACTGAGGAGTGAGGGGGCCCCGGATCTGGGTGAAGTGCCCCACATTGAGGAATGAGGGGGCCCTGGATTGCTGTCCCACCCAGGGTGACATCTTCCCCACACTGAGGAATGAGGGGGGCCCCGGATTGCTGTCCTGCCCAGGGTGACATCTTCCCCACACTGAGGAATGAGGGGGTCATGGATCGCTGTCTCACCCAGGGTGACATGTTCCCCGCTGAGGAATGAGGGGGGCCCCGGATCGCTGTCCCGCCCAGGGTGACATCTTCCCCACACTGAGGAATGAGGGGGTCATGGATCGCTGTCCCGCCCAGGGTGACATCTTCCCCACACTGAGGAATGAGGGGGCCCTGGATTGCTGTCCCACCCAGGGTGACATGTTCCCCGCTGAGGAATGAGGGGGGCCCCGGATCGCTGTCCCACCCAGGGTGACATCTTCCCCACACTGAGGAATGAGGGGGCCTTGGATCGCTGTCTTACCCAGGGTGACATGTTCTCCACTGAGGAATGAGGGGGCCCCGGATCGCTGTCCCACCCAGGGTGACATGTTCCCCACTGAGGAATGAGGGGGCCCCGGATTGCTGTCCCACACAGGGTGAAGTGCCCACCAGTGAGGAATGAGGGGGGCCCTGGATCGCTGTCCCGCCCAGGGTGACATGTTCCCCACTGAGGAATGAGGGGGTCATGGATCGCTGTCCCACCCAGAGTGACGTGTTCCCCACTGAGGAATGAGGGGCCCTGGATCGCTCTCCCACCCAGGGTGACATGTTCCCCACTGAGGAATGAGGGGCTCTGGATCGCTGTCCCACACAGGGTGAAATGCCCACCACTGAGGAATGAGGGGGGCCCTGGATCGCTGTCCCACCCAGGGTGACATGTTCCCCACTGAGGAATGAGGGGCTCCGGATCGCTGTCCCACGCAGAGTGACGTGCTCCACACTGAGGAATGAGGGGCCCTGGATTGCTGTCCTGTCCAGGGTGACGTGCCCACCACTGAGGAATGAGGGAGCCCCGGATCGCTGTCCCACCCAGGGTGACGTGCCTACCACTGAGGAATGAGAGGGCCTTGGATCGCTGTCCCACCAGGGTGACATGTTCCCCACTGAGGAATGAGGGGGGCCCTAGATCGCTGTCCCACCCAGGGTGACGTGCCCGCCACTAAGGAATGAGGGGGCCCTGGATTGCTGTCATTTGAACTTCCCTAGCTCCTACAGCAAGTGGAGGTGCCTCAGAGCTGTAACGCTCAGCAGATGCTGCAGGTTTCCCAGAGGACGGGGTGGACAGTGTCTACATTCATGACCCAGCAAACCATCCCTTTACCTTTTCATTCTTCTCGGTTTCTTCAGCCCCATTGCAAGGTCTCTAACGTCTCATTAGCTGTCTTGTATCCCTCGGTAATGTCTTGACTGAGGATTTTGGAACTATGTATTTGAACGACCTCTACTTTAGGAGAAATGACACGTTTAAGAATTAGAACAGCACAATCTTCGGGCACCACTCCAGCTCATTAAAAGCCTCTGTAATGGGCATCTCCTGGTGTTTGAGTTTCCCATCTCACCACATCAAAGGACCATTTAGTTTCTTATTAGGTCTCACATGAGACCATCCAGGTGGACTCTAAATGTTCCTAATGAATTAGAATGTTGCATCTCATTTTTCACCACCAGGGAGTGAGCACAGGAATGCTGGTAGGAGCAGCGGCTGGTCCATCTGCTCTACCACAACCTCCCAAATTGTTTAAAAATTTATGTGTTTCTGGTATGTGGATGACCTTGAATTAGTTATTTGAGTTGATAGAACGGTGAAATTAAGATCAAGTGTTGATAAATCTTTATTGTATTACTTTCCTATTGCTGGTGTAATAAATTACTGCAAACTTGGCGGCTTAAGACAATACAAATGTATTATCTTACAGTTCTATGGGTCAGGAGTCTGAAATGAGCTAAAGTCAAGGGCTGGACTTCTTTCTGCAGGCTGCCCCTTCCAGCTGCCAGCTGTCCTCCTTGGTTCCTGGCCCCTTCTGTCTTCAAAGCCAGCAATGACTGGTCTAGTCTTCTCCACAAGGCCACCTCTCTCCTGCCTCCTTCTTTCTCATGTAAATACCCTTGAGATTTCATTGGGCCTGCTTCGGTAGTCCACAATCATCTCTCAATCTCAACATAATGAACTTAATCACATCTGCCAAGTCCTTTTTGCATTGTAAAGTAACATATTCACAGGTTCTGGGAATTACATAAATGAAGACATAAAATATTTGATGTGAAAATTTTAGAATAAATAACTTTTTTTTTGAGACAGGGTCTCACTCTGTTGCCCAGGGTGGAGTGTGGTAGTGCAGTCACAGCTCACTCCAGCCTTAACTGCCCTGGCTCAAGCAATCCTCCCACCTCAGCCTCCAAAGTACCTGAGACCACAGGTGTGCACCATCATGCCTGGCTAATTTTTAAATTTTTTGTACAGACTGGTCTCACTGTGATGTCCAGGCTGGCCTCGAACTCCTGGGCTCAAGTGATCTTTCCACCTTGGCTCTCCCAAAGTATTGGAATTACAGGCATGAGCCCCTGTGCTAGGCCTAAATGAATAACTTAATATATTAAAAGAATGCCCTGAAAATCAGTGCCAATGTAAAGTCAAATCAACTGTTACATTGGTTTACAGACTAGTAGATAGAGAAGGATGGCTGCCTAGTTTCTGGTTTAAAGATGCTTTTATTTGCATATTCTCATAATGAGGGTTTAAAAAAAAATCAATCGAAATCAGCACCTGAGCTGGTGCCCAAGAGCGTACAGTGAAAACCAGACATTTACATTTAAATTGTCCAAAGAGGTGTTTACATCTATGTAATTGTTAAATTGAAATTAAATTTGATTAAAAGTTATTAGAATCCAGAAAACTATAATGGGCTTCTTACATTGTCTTTGTGGAGATTAGATACTTGATCAACATTAAACTGCTCTAAGTGTCCTATATGCTTGGAACTTAGATTATCAGTTTCTTATTTTAAATGTATTCCTTTAGTTTATGGAAATATTGTACATGAGAAAAAAATGCTGCTCATCAGACATTTTGGGTAAATACTTTAGCTGATATTTAGATGTCATAATGGAGCACTTATGGAACTTAAAGAGGATGCTAAAATGATTTTTGAAAGCTATAAGTAACAATCATGCAGTCTTATATACCCTTGAAAATATTTTGCTTTCAAATTTTGCTTTCAAAGATAGGGCACAAGTTGCTAAATTCTCCCCTAAAACTTTTTTTTTCGCTTTTGCAAAGGGATAAGACAATAAACACCATTGGTGACCTACCTTTCTTCGGTTTTACAGATGTTTATATTTTTAAAAATTCTTTTTAGAATTAGGATCTTGCTCTCTTGCCGAGGCAGAAGTGCAGTTATGTGATCATAGCTCGCTGCAGCCTTAAACTCCTGGGCTCAAGTGATCCTCCCACCTTGGCCTCCCAAAGTACTGGAATTTGAGGCGTGAGCCACTGCACCTGGTCATGTGGTTCTGGTGGAACATAGCTATATCAAGAGTTATGGAAAATACTAATTTTCCTTGGGAACTGAACATCAAGGGGCAGCTCTGCCTTTTTGGTGGAGACTTCCTCTAAGGCAATGGAATGGGTTCTCCAGGTTGTGGGTCTTTTTTAGAAAGTTAGAGCAGTTAAGAGATAGAAAAATGAATATGATAGAAAAATAGATATAAAAGAGCATTGTAAAGCATTATATTCTATTTAAAATAGGATTCTACTCAATTCTATTTAAGAATATTAAAGCAATATTATCCAGCATTTTAAAATATGAACACTGCATGAGGTAATAAGGACATTATTAGCTATGTTAGCCATGGGAGGGAAGACACTAAATATTTTTAAGCATAAATATACACCAAAGGAGAAGGATTAACATGCATTTTGGCTTCAATTTACATAAGAGATAAAAGTCAAACACGGCATAGTAGATTTTAATTACAAAGAGAGACTAGTTTGATATTGATATTTGCAAACTTTATGCCATCACATTTTTTAATTATTGGCAATATAATTTAATTAAGACTATTTTAAAAAATACAATTGTAGGACACAGATTAAATGTAAATAAGTTCTGTTGAATAGATGACTGAATAAGGAAAGAAAAGATTTTATCTGAAAACTAAAATATCAAAGAAAGACAAAATATTCAAAAAGTTTCCAGGTCCCATTGCAGTCTTTAGGAGGCTATTTGTGTGTTATGACTGAAGGATTGGATTGTAACAAATTATAGAGTGGTTAAGGGCCAACCATGCCTTCTTTGTGTTTTCACACCACGTAGCATGGGGACTTGTGCTTTGAAAATGTACAATGAACTGATGTCGCATGAACACATCAATTTAGCACATTGAAAAACTAATCTAACATTTAGCAAGGAAGCTGAAAGGCAGTAGATTCATTAGAAAGTTAAGCATACACTAATATAATTATTCTTTTAACAAATATTGACTGGGCTTCCTCTCTGAGCCATGTAATTCTCTGGGCTAAATATGTAAATATGTGCAAATAAACATGGGCCTCGTCCTCATGGAAGTTGCCATGAAGGGCAAAGTAATGGCTTGATATACTCGGATTCTTTTATTATTTAATGACCCCTGGATGTTCCTGAATATCTTTGCCTATCCCATTTTCTCAGAGCCCCCCATTTCAAGTTGGTGAGTTTTTCACAAAGCAAACAAACAAACAAACAAACAAAAAACAGGACTAGAGAATAAATAAGGAGCTTAACCAGTACCCACCCTTCCAATGAGTGACTCAGTCAGGTGCACTTCCAGTGCAGACGTGGTTTGTTGTTTCATTTCTGTTCCTAGTGGTGTTGTGGACCCGTGTGGAGTTTGCAGAGTCAGACTTGGCTCTTAGAGGATTGTGTGATTAGGTGTCTGTCATTCCCAGGTTTTGTACAGTGCGTTACACTTCTCAAAACATGTTGAGTGCATTAAATCAGCATCTGCTCACAGGGACCCTGTGGAGCATACAGGCAGCATTTTGGATGGTGCTATTTTACAACTTTGGAACCCAAAGCATGGAGTGATTATGCTTTAAGGGCTTTAATTTCCCTCTGGTTTATGTGTTACTCAAAGACAGGTGCTATCCATAGCATCTAGCACAATACCAGTACCTAGTAGGTGTTTGGTACATGGTTATTGAACTAAAGATACACAGAATTTTGAAATCTGTCTTTGATTAGGAATCTATTGGTTAAGAAAATCTTGAGGTTTCAGGAGCTCCTTCACAGTTCTGCTTTTCTTTTCATGCAATTGCCTGTACGTATTCATTTACTCTTGCTGTTATAACAAAATGCCATCAACTGAGTGGCTTCAACAGCAGACGTTTATTATCTCACCATTCTGGAGGCTGGATATTTGAGATCAAGGTGTCTTGAGGCTTGGTTTCTCCTGAGGCCTCTCTCTTTGGCTCGCAGATGGCTGTCTTCTCTTTGTGTCTCCATGCGGTCTCCCTTCTGTGCCTGTCCGCGTCCTACTCTCCTCTTCTTACAAGGACACCGGGCATACTGGATTAGGCCCACCTCTATGACCTCGTGCTACCTGAATTACCTCTTTAAAGGCCCTATCTCAAAAGACAGTCACATTCAGAGGTACTGGGTGTTAGGACTTTGACATATGAACTTAGCATATGAAGGGGACACGATTTAACCCATAACAAGACATTTATCTTTATAGTGCCCACATATATTATTACTTCGTATGATACCAAAGAAGTGTAATGATCTTGGAAAAGTGAGACTTACTTAAATGTTTAATAAGAAGAAAGGTGCTGCTACTCTCATACGCTGCTCTCACACGCGCCTCAACCAGTCCATGAGCTGAGCTGGGCTCAACCTCCCTTCAGCTGAATCTCCAGCACAGTGGTTCTCAGCCCTGGCTCACTGTGGAATTACCGAGGGAGCTTTTACAGTGTACCCATGATCTCGCCCCCACCCCAGAAAAATGAGGTCAGAACTTCCAGGGGTGGAGTCTGGACATCCATCCTATTCTTAAAGATTCCCAAGGGGCTTCAATGCACATCAGGGCTTGTGAAGCCCAGCACTCTTCAGAGACTCAGCAATTCATTGAAAATTATTTAATAAGAGTCCTTGGGATACACTGCCCAGGCAAATAACAGTGACGTGGCAAGAGCAACCTACCAGGATTCCTACCCTGAGACAATCACCAATTGTATGAAGCAAGAGGGTAGGTCACAGAGATTCTGAAGGATTTGAACACAATCACGTACGTAGTTAAGTAACAGAATTCAATCTTCAAGACAGTACAAAGGATAATATGAGAAGTCAGTAAAAATGCCATTTTTATTGTATAAAAAGATTCCTACGTCTGTTTCCCCTATTGAATTAATCAGCTGAAAGATTTATTATTATAGATGTCAGGAGGACTCCAAAATATTTATAATCTTTAATTGCTGCTATAGCACAACACACACTTCTTGGAAACTTAAGCCTTTAGAACACCCGCTTACCCTTAAATCACCTAGCTGGCCTGTCACCCCCTCTGAAACTTGAGGGCTCCCAATGCAGGGACTGGGTGTTGTTTACGTCTGTCACCATAGCACCTGACATAATTCTGGCATATAGCATGCAGTCAGCAAATGTTAAAATGGATGAGGAAATGATAAATAGATATGCAGAAGATGGAACTTTGGACCACAAAAGCAATTTGAAATCTAGACAGTCAGGTCTAGAAGTCCAGAGACATCAGTTACCCAGGGTCAGAAGCCGAGTCATGTTTTGGAAGCCAGTGAACTAAACAAGAGTGGGCCTAGTGGATAGCCAAAGACAGGCTCACACAGGCAAGCAATCTGGGAACTGGGAAAGTCGTTGGTGGTCCACGACATGTGCAGTTGGCCAGGAAGTTAGGTCGTCCTGAGGGTTAACTAGCAGCTGACAGTGTGAACTAATTAAGACAAGGGCATATGTTTGGGATTTGCTTTGATATATCTTGATTGGACAGTAACTGGTGCTACGGTGTCATGGGCCTATTTTCAATGCAGAGACAAGCATCTTGCATGATTAGCACAGAGGCTGCTGCTGTGGCTGGAACATGAATTGTGGCTCAGAGGCAAAGGTAGTTTGGTCAGTATCTAGACAATTTAGCAAAAAGATTCCTTTCTAAGATGACATTTCCAAATTCAATGAATTTGCTGCCCACCAAGTGATTGATGGGAAAAAAATTGGTAAAAGGATTCCCAGGCTTATGTTTTCCTCATATATACATATATTGCACTTTTGTCAAATACAGAAGTGCTTGTCAAGTGAGGAGAAAGATGTGCCCTTTGAAGGAGGTTGGAAGCCAGTAGGACTCTGCCTGACTTCAGCTGGTGGGGCGCATGTTTTATATTTATTCACATATTTGTCATTTCTGTGCTCTTCTTTTCTTCCTGTAGATCAGGGTTACTATTTAGTGTGGTTTTCCTTCCTGAAGAACTTTTAGCATTCCTTTTGGCTGTAAATCCTTCTGGATTTTGTTTGTCTGAAAGTATATTTACATTTGCCTTCATTTTCAAAGGATAGTTTTGCTAGATACAGAAGTTTTGGTTGAAATTTTTTGCCACCCCCCTCAGTTCAGCATTCTTACCTGTCGTTCCAACATCTTCTGGTTTCCATTGTTTTCGATGATTTTAGTCATCAATTCTTTTCATTGTCCTCCCTTACTTAATGTATTCTTTTTCTCTGGCTTCTTTAAAAATTTTCTCTCCATCTTAAGACTTTCAGTAATTTGACTATACTGCATCTACGAGTGATTTTTTTCTTTGTGCTTATGATACTTAGGGCTTATTGACATCCTTAAATCTCTGGAAGAGCTGAGGACTGAGTGAAAGGCATATGAGGAACTTTCTGGGTAATGTAAATGTTCCAGATCCTGATTCTCGTGGTGGAACCCTATATGCATACATTTGCTAAAACTCATTGAATTGTACACTGAAGATCTATGCATTTTGATTTCTTTAACCTATATTTTATGCTAGAAAAGAGACTTAAAGCATTTACGTTAACAAATGTTACTTTATGAAAGCTATATTTATTAACTTTCCTTAAGTGAGTCTGTTATGACTAAATCTGGGAATTCAATTCATCATTGTTTTTGAGAATACTTTTTAAATCTCAGCACACATTTTCATCTTCTAAATGATAGAAGCCCTGGTACAAAAATACAGTTAGATAGAAGGAATAAAATCTAGTGTTTGATAGCAAAATAAGGAGACTATAGTTAACAATAATTTATTGTATACCTCAAAATAAATAGAGGAGTAGTTTTGAAATGTTCCCAATTCAAAGAATTAATAAATGTTTGATGTGATAGATATCCCAGTTACCCTGATTTGATCATTACACATTGTATGCTGGCTTCAAAATATCACGTGCTTGATAAAAATGTCAAACTATTATGTACCCATGATAATTAAAAATAAAAAATATATAGGTAATATAATGAAAAGGATACTTTAAGATCATTTTTTAGACTACTAGGGAATAATTTTTTTACTAAGAACATACTTCATAGTCAAATAATAGATAAGACAGAAAGGGATGCACCTGAAGATTCATATACCAAAGAAGGAAGGAAGAGGAAGAGCATGAGGGAGGGAGGCAGGGGAGGAGGAAAGAAAGGAAAGAATGGACTGAATAGACTTGAAGATGATGGGAAGGAGGGATTTGTAGCCTTGGGCTGGCTGCTGTGTTTCATAGCAGATGCGGGAGGGTAAATGGAAAGCTAATAGACCAATACGAGGTAAAGTTTGGATCTCCATAAATTTAACTCTGAGGAGGCAAAGAGTGCTTGTTCCCTTCTTTGCCATATACTAATGTTCTGCTTCCTTCAGCCTTTTGCCCCCATGAAAGCTAAAGATTTTACATTGTGTTCCCTAAGATCTTAAGCCACAAGGCTGTGCTGATTAACATATGACTTATGAGCTTCACCTGATATATTTCATTCATTCGTTCAGTTATTCAATCAATATTTATTGTATGCTGCCTGCCAAGCCCTTTTCTTTGCATTGGGAATTCAGTGGTAACAAAGCAAGACAAACAGAATCCTTGCACCTGTGAAACTTACATTTGAGAAAGTAAGCAATTAAAAAAAGATAATTACAAGTAGTGAAGTGGTGAAGTGTACAAAACAGGGTACTGTGATAAAAAGCAGTTGGGGAGATGGTTCGCATTTTAGCTTGGATGACCGGGGGTCTTCCTGAGAGGTCCAAATCTGTTCCAAGACCTGAGCCAAGGGAAAGAGACAGGCATGTAAGATCCAACGAGAGAAATGGAATTGTCTTCTTGCCAGTTTATAGATAAATGAAAAAATATCATTATAGCAATGAAGACAAATTCATAAGAAGGTTTGTTTCCTAAAATGTGATGGAACGAGAAGTGGAGGATAATCTCAGCCTTTTACTGGAGACTCCCTTTGTAGATGAGTCACTGCTCTTTGCGTGTACATACAAACAACACACAGAAGGCCATGCAGGCTGACAGCTGCCTGGCCTGGCTTCCAGGGCATGAAAGCACAGTTCAGGGTTAAGGAGAATAAACACAGCAGGTCACAAGGCAGTTAGTCATAGTAACCTGGTGTGTGTTCTTTGTGGGAAAAACAAGAAGATAACAGCACAAAAAGTCCCTCCTCCCGGCCAGCTAAGCTGGGCCTCTCACGCCACTGGGAATGCATGAGTGAAGGAGCTTGAGGAAGATGGGAAGCAGGCTGAAGCACATTAGCAGTCGCTAATCTACACCTGTCTGTTATGAGCACCCTCTCAGGTGTGTAATGACGCCCCCAGCATCCCTGATACCGCTCCTTGATCAAGGCTCTGAACCTCAATCTGCGTGAACTAGAGGCAGTAAGTCCTTTCTGTAACTGTTCATGCCTGATACTCAATACATGTTAAGCTAAACTACATTTCTTCCAAAGATATGTGAAAGGAAAAAAATAAAAGACAAACGCAAAGTTATATTGGGCACAAGAGAATGAAGTGTAGCATGGTGGGAACTTTGTATCAGGGTCAAATTTATTATTTTCCTAAAGGAATTGCAGGATAACTCTGTACAGGAGACATCTCTAGGTAATTGCTGGAAGAATGCTCCACAGGGAAGAAGCCTGATGTGAAGGGGAATGGACTCAATAGCCTAATTGTTTTTCCCCCATTCATTACCATTTGTAGGTCCCTTGGGACAGAATTTGGCACACTGGCTGAATAAAATAACAAGAAGTCTGAGGACTTCTTGTTGGCTTGAAGTGGAATGTTCTTGCCAACATATATTGAAATCATCACATAGGGATCACCTTTTTTCATTATTGTGATTTGCATTTATTATGATAGCCTCTCAGTCAATATTTAATGGCACATCTTATGTGCAAAGCCCCATGCTAGACACTCAGGAGTGTCCAGAGGGGCATGGCACTTGTCTCCTGCTCTCAAGAAGCTTACAGTCTGGTCACAGTAGGAAACGCACAAATCAATTATCTGAAACATATGGAAATGACTTCTCTGACAAAACTGCATTTTGTTGAATGTCATGACAATTCACTTTAGGAAATTACACATTTTTGTAGGATGCTTTTTTCCTCCTTTGAACAATAGATTATCAAGAGCACTGAAGTTCTCAGCAAGGAGATCCATTGGCCTCAACATTTCTTCACAAAAGAATCTCCCTTCTGATTTTGACAGCTTCATCAACAAAGCAGCCATTTCTTGTATATTATTGGTTTATTTTGCGTTTTCTCCCTTCCTTATCCGTTCTAAACTAACTCCCTAAGGCAACTGGGTGGAGAGCAACTGTGTGAACATTAAACCATACTTTTCATGTTCTGAATCATCAAACAAATTACTCATACCTTTTCTTCCCACATGGCTACTCCCTGAGATAGATGGGTTGATATGTAGTCCTTTGAAAGAAATATGGGGCGGGGGCTGTGGGGGCAGCAATTCAGTCTGAGAAACGTGTGAAATCCCAGAATCAGAGATGGAGTAGGGCCAAGCCCCCAATCTGGAAATTTGGAAGTTGTGTCTGGTAAATATCTACATTAATTCCTCTCTCTTCTGTTCCTCTCTGAAGTCTGCAGTATTTCCATCCAGGGGGACTCAGGAATGGTACACCTGGACCCCCTCACAGTCCTCAGGGGTGTCACTACTCACACCTCTAACCCATGTGCTTCTCATAGATCCCTGGGAACGAACAGGGCATGGGACAGGAAATTCCTGCAGAAAGAAAATGTCTGCAGTCAGGGAGTTTCTGCAGGCAGGCCCACACTTACTCCCTACCCCTTCTCAGGCCTTTGCAGAAAAACATGGAAACCATCATTTGTTTAGGGTCAGAGTTGTGGAAGGCATAACATGGGTTAGAAAACAAAGTAAAAGCAACAAAAATAGTGACTATTAACTCTCTTCCATTAGTCCTATTTAGCAGGTCCCTGAAAAATGTAGTTGAATATTGTTTTGTTCCAATGTCAATGAGGGGAAAAAATCACTTTGTTTCCAGGTCCACCCCCATGTGGAGTTTGCTTGTTCTCCCCAGGTCTGTGTGGGATTTTTCTAGGTACTCTGGTTTCCTCCCACGTCCCAGAGCTGGACATGTTAGGTAAATTGGTGTGTCCACATGGTCCCAGTCTGTGTGCTAGTATGTGAGTGTGCCCAAGATGGGACGGTGTACTGGCTAGGGCTGGTGCCCGCCTGATGCCCGCCTGGTGCCCTGAACTTCCAGGTTAAGCTCCAGCCCCCTGCAACCCTGAACTAGAATAAGTGGGTAAATTATTATCTGACTTGCTTTTATTAATCTTTCTTAAATGTATGTGTAGTTCACATTTATTTCAGGTGTTTAATATAGAAGTGTTTTGTCCTTATTTAGAAGTTTGGTGATGTTTTTGTGACCAGAAATATGCCTTAGGAATTTAACTCTTCTTTAGATCAACTCGACTATGGTTTAATTGTTTTTGCTATACATCGTTTTGCTTAAAGCCGCAGTTTCCAGGAGCCTACTGATGATAAGTGAGGATTTACTGTGGTTTGTTAAGTGAATTGGCAAAACAAAACAAAACAAAACAAACAAACAACAAAAGAAAACACATCCTAGACCAGAGGTTTCTGTTTTACATGGAAACTTATCTTAGTGCTACAGTTAATACCACACACGTCCTGGAACCTCACTGCATCACCCAGACTCCAAGTGCCATCCTGCCTGCTGGAGGAAGACCTGGGAGGGCACGGCAAAGACATGTCACTGGACATCTCCCAGGTTAGAATCTCCTTGTGCTTAAGGCTGTCCTTGACCTCATGCAACGGATGTTGGTCATTCAAGGAGGAAGCCTCTGGTAGCAGGAGCGCCTCTTGCCTCACTTCCTCTGTTTGAGTGGCACTGGTTAATCAACTGATTCTACTAAAGAAAATTCTTTACATCCCCATTGGATGTTTCTATTGGTCTGTTCTCTGCTGAACCTGCCCATGGAGGACCATGAAAATGTGTGAGAAAAGCCATTTTATTGGGGTGCTTGAAATTGGATTATCCAATGTGGCCTGCTTTCCATAGTTCAGCTTTTCAGACTTTAGCAGGGAATTGTGTGCTTACACAGGGTTCTGTGTGAACTAACACATCTCTGCCTGAATGTGTTCCCCGCCGCCGCCAGTAAAACATTGCAACAAAGCAACTGTCTCATAATATTAAGAATATTAGGCATATCTTTACAAATTGAGCTCTGATATTTTTTCCAATTTCCTTCTGGAAATGGTGAAATTAGAGAAAGTGAAAGTGTGTGTGGGGTCTTCTCCAGGGAGCTGAGCCCTGTGAATGCACACAGTGAGTGCTGGTGTTTACGATGTGTTGCAAATGGGTCAACACTGTGCTTTGTTTGTTCCCCATAAGTGAGGACTGACTCTCAGATATCATCAATGGAATGCCTCCTAGGGAATTTCTTGAATATCAAAACACAGTCCTTTTGGTTTCTTTTTACTGATGAAAATTTTACTCTGAAGTATGCTTTCTCCAGCTAGAGCAGGGATCAGCAAACTACAGCCTATAGACTGAACCAGCCTCTACTCACTGCTGTATTTTGTATGACCTAGGAGCGAATGTAAATGGTTGAAAAAATCAAGAGAAAAATATTAATTATTTGTGGCGCATGAAAGTTATCTGAAATTCAAATGTTAGTGTCCATAACTAAAGTTTTATTGGACTATAATCATTATTAATTCGTCCATGTATTTTCTATGGCTATTTGCTACAGTAGCAGAATTGAGTCATTGTAACAGAGACTATGTGTCTCACAAAGCCTAAAATATCTACTCTCTGGCCCTTACAGGTAGAAGATCTAGAATTTCCAACTTTGCTGCAAGTTTTGGCTCCTTCCAAGTCTTTTTTTCTTCCTTCCTTCCTTCCTTCCTTCCTTCCTTCCTTCCTTCCTTCTTCCTTCCTTCCCTTTTTCTCCTTTTTCTTTTTTGAATCTCGCTCTATCACCCAGGCTGGAGTACAGTGGTGCAATCTGAGCTCACTGCAACCTCTGCCTCCTGGGTTCAAGCTATTCTCATGCCTCAGCCTCCCGAGTGGCTGGGGTTACAGGTGTGAGCCACTGTGCATGGCCCATTTTTGTATTTTTAGCAGAGACAGGGTTTTACCATGTTAGCCAGGTTGGTCTCGAACTCCCGACCTCAGATGATCCGCCCACCTCAGCCTCCCAAAGTGCTGAGATTACAGGCACGAGCCACCACACCCTGCTTGACAAAAGATTTTAGAAGAGCAAATCCTTACTTCTGATTTCTGGAAAATGTGCACACACAACACATAACAAAATACAGCTACATAGGGGACTGGAGGATAATCACAGTCGTGATTTTCACTGTCTGACAGTGAAGTCATCTCTAGCAGGGTCAAAGAAGAGCGACAGCAGAAAGAACTTGCACTCTCACTGTGCCTCAGGGTGACTGGTTTGCTTCGAAGTTCCCTAGAGGAATAACTTTTTCGGTGGTGCATGCCTAGCAAGATGTGCTGACTTTTGGCCTTCTCTACTAGCTGCTGAGGAAATCGTGGCCAGATGACCCATGCATAAAAATCCACCATAAGCCATAAAGTACCTTCTGAGCTGGAGACCATATGCTAGCGGCAGCCCTGCCTTCAGGAGGCTTACATCTGCTTGAGGACAATCAATATCCAGATCAAGATGACCAAAATGGCTCTGTGGCATGACACACAATCCCCTCCATGACCAAGACACATATTCTTCCAGGTTCCAGGGGTGGTTGACTCATGACTCCTAACAGCTGAGTTCCTTTCCAATAATTGCCTTTAACTGTAGGAAGCTGTCTTGCCCAGGTAACACTCATGTCTGGGGACAGCCCATGTTTAATTTCTGGTCAGTGCTGGGGGTGGGCTTGGGTACAGAGGCTCAGCACCTTTCCCTCAATTCTAGACAGTTCTGGAGGGCTCCAGAGCTCCCTATAGAACTGGCTGAGGGCTCTGCTGCCACTGCCTCATGTTCAGCTTCTCTTTTGCCTCAGTCTGCTCCCAGAACTCTCCATAGGTGTCCCTGCCGGGAGCCACCCCAAAAACATCCTGCACTCAGTCTCCATCTCAGAATCTCATTTCCTGGTAAGCCAGCCTAGGACAGACACTGATATTACAAGGTACACATACCCAAATGTCAGATACAGCATGCGGTGTAGGAGTCAGAAAGAGATCCCTTTGGTTCAGGGGTGCAGGGGACTGTGCTGTAGAAGCAATGAGCCCTGCTCATGAAGATGCATTTAGAAGGAGGAAAGGAGTGGCGACTGGTGATGCTGGCAGGTCCCTGTCCTCTTCCCTTGTCCCTGAACTATCCTTCCCCTATACTCTGCAGCACTGTCTTCCTCTCTGATTATATCAGTTTCATTGTGAGGTACATTTTCAGATTTTACAGCCCTTTAAAAGTTATTAAATAATAGGATATAAAGCCAGGGTAATAAACGATAGTTCCAAATGGGAGGGAAAAGGAAAAAACCTACTTTCTTTTGGCTCCGTAATATGCCAATACAAAATTGGAAATAGAAAATTGAGCTTTTGCAAGGAAGGATTTAGAGGTGGGGCACAGTGGGGAATTCCATATCCCACTTGAAGGCATGCAGTGGAAACTTTCAGTCCAGTATATGAAGGTGGAAGGAACTCGAGGGGAAATGATGCTATCATTCATTCTTCCATTTGCTTTTGTGATGTTCCCAGAGTGCTTCCCTGTGATTCACTCCTTTTAGCAAAATTGGGTTTTGAAGAGTGCTTGAATGAGATTTCCAATGGAATAGAAAGTAGACATGTGTTCCTTCTCTTCATTTGTATTAGTTTGATACCAGTGAAATGGCCATTTTTATAAGTCAACATGGTTAGGTATTAGCAACTTCATGTACTTAACCTACAAGGTTGACTTCTGAGTTTATTTCGAAGTCCCAGCACATTCTTCCCAGCTCATAGGTGTTTGTATTTAATCTCATTTAGAATTTAGAAGAAAATTCCCAGTTTTATGTATCAATTTGCTTTTTATTTGTTCCACCTGGAGCATAAAATTGTGGGAAATTCTTTAAATATAAATACTTGCTTTCTAAGACAATTTTTCTAAATTTTTTCTAATGTAGTCCAAGTGCATGAACTGCAGAGTACAGTTGTCTCTTAGTATTCATGGGTGATTGCTTCCAGTATCCCCCAAGATGCTGAAATCCTTGGGTGCTCAAGTGTCTTATATAAAATGGCATAATATTTGCTTATAACCCATGCTCGTTCTCCCATATGTTTTAAATAATCTCTAGATTATTTATATTACAAAAAACTATATAAATACAATGCAAATGGTTGTCATACTATCTCTTTTAGAGAATAAGGACAAGAAAAGAAAAGGTCTGTGAATGTTCAGCACAGACTAAAACATCTTTCTAAAAAATATATTTTTCATCCATGGTTGGTTGAATCTACTGGATATGGAGTCCACAGATATGGAGGACCAACTGTGCTTTTACTAGGTTTTTCTAATTGAGCTGTAAATAAAAGATCAAAATATCAACTTGGAGGTGAGCTGAAGAAGACTTTGAAATACAGAACTCTTCAAACTCTACGCAGATTTGGTATCCAATACATTAACTTATCTATAAACTGATTTTTTTTTTTTTTTTTGCTGTTGCCTTTCCACTGAGGAGGCTCAGAGTTCTCCTTTAAAAATTTCTGACATTTTTTGGCGTGGATTGTTTCTTAAGTGGAAAATTTCAAACTTAGTTTACAAAAATTGGCACACTCCAAAGAACCATGGATCCTCCACATTTGCATGCCACATTTAAATCATTGAAAGCTACAGAATGGGAAATGTTGGCTAAGGAAATAGCCTCTGAATTACTTTCAGAAGTAGAGTAAATGAGGCATTAGATTTAAATGTTTGTTTAAATCCCAGTTCCTGACTGGAATCTACGCAGTGACAATCTTTCTTTTTTTTTTTTTTTTTTGCTGTATTTGAGAAAATATATCAGAAATAAATAAAATGTATGAATAAAACATGCTAAAATTTGTTTAAAAACTCTACTTCCTTTCCTTATTGTTAATTTTCTCAGTTAATATTAACATCAAATTTATTCTGTTGGCATTCTAATAATCACAGAAAAAATAGTATATAAGTGTATAGTTTGGTATTATGCCATTATAGCCATAGATTACTTATTTTGCAAATCTATTGTCTGGGTTACTTTTGGAAATAATTTTGGAGTTAGCATGAGTTATGAGTGGATATTTATTAGGTGACACATCTTTGAATTATTCAGATTTAAATATACTCATATTTCTTATATAAATGAAGGTGCCTAGTTAAAACACGTGGGCAACATAATACCCTCAATTATTTCTGTACACACCAAGTATTTCCAAATCCAAAAAAGAGAGATTTTTTTCTAGAAATTCCATGAATTAACTGGAGCAAGACTGTAATTAAGGAGTGTGTGTGTGTGTGTGTGTGTATGTGTATGTGTGTGTGTGTAAACAAATATCTTTTTAATCCATTTCTGTTGCTCTTCTTCATTTCATGAATTCCACGTGTTTTTTTGGTACCATTTCCCTTCAGGCTGAAGAACTTACATTAGCATTGCTTTGATAGCAGGTTAATTTTCCTTCCTCTGAGGATATTTTCTTTTTGCCTCATTCCTGAAGGACAGTTTCACAGGGTATAAAATTCTAAGTTTATAATTCTTTTCTTTTGCAGATTTAAAGATATTGTTCCACTGTATGCTAGTCTTCATAGTTTGTGATGAAAAATATGTGGTCTTTAAATTGTTTTCTCCCTACACATAATGTGACATTTTTCTCTGTTTTCATTCTTTAGTTATATTAGTTTTTCAACAGGTTAGTTATGTATCTGGGAGTGGTTTCTTTGAGCTCATCCTACTTAGGATTTGCTGAGCTTATTGAATGTGTACATTATGTCTTCACCAAATTTCTGGAATGTTAAAATACTGTATTATCCAAATTTTTTTCTGAACCAATCTTTCTGCTCTCCTTTGATAACTCTAATGATGCAAATGATAGACCTTTTTATTTTGTCCCTTAAGTCTCTGAGGTTTTATTAACTTTTTTCAATCTTTTGCTCTCTGTTCTTCAGATGGGGTAATTTCTATTAATTTCTTCATCATTACTAACTCATTTTTTGTCATTACCACTCTGCTCTTGAGACCATTAGGTGAATGTTTAATTTCAGATACAGTGTTGTATTTTTTCTGTTGTTAATATTTTTATTTGATTAATTTTTGTAGTTTGTATTTCTCTGCTGATAATGTTTATCTTTATATTTATTTCAACATGGTTTACTTTTACATCATGGAGCCTGGTTATAATGGTTGGTTTAAAATCATTTTCTAATAACTTCAACAGTTGTGTAATTACAGGGTTGGCATCTGTTGATTGTCTTTTCTATTGATAATTGATCAGATTTTCCTGGTTCTTTGTTTATCAAATAATTTGGGATTATATCCTTGACATTTTGAATATTACGTTATGTGACTCTGGGTCATATTAAAATCTTCTGCAGAATGTTTAAGTTTTCATTGTCTCTTTCTTTCTTTCTTTTTTTTTTTTTTGCAGGCAGTCAATCTGGTTGGTCTCAGGCTGAAAGCTTTGTCTCACTCTCTGAGTAGTGGTTCCAATGTCAGTTCAGTTCTCAAAACCTTTGCCATAACATTTGGGTCTCTCTTGAACATGCACCGTTCAATTATCAGTTTGGGAGTTGGACAGTTCTTTATGTCACAGTTCAGGTCTCAAAGCTTTTTGAGGGCTGTTCCATGAGTGCATGATTTGGGGCAACACTGGGACTCTTATTGATTTATAACAAATTAGATGATAATTTTTCTTGCTCTCTTCTCATAAGGATTTTTCCTTTAATCTTTAGTTCTTGGGACCCCTCCCCACAGCTCCTTTGGTCAGAGATATAAATTTGGGATGGGAGAGTTAGAGGCCTTCAAAGCAGCAGAAGCAGTTCACTTTTGCAACTGGATATATAAAGTATGTACATAAAATAATTGCAATCAGGTACTCAAACAAATACATGTATGTGCATGATCACAGCAGCAGTAGCTAAACTGTATAAACAACCCAAATAGGTGAATGGATGAAAAAAATTCCCTGCATACAATGGAATAATATTTAGCCATAAAAAGAATGAAGTACTGATACATGCTACAAGGTGAATGAGCCTTGAAAACATTATACCAAGTGAAAAAAGTGAGACACAAAAGGCCACATACTGTATGATTACATTTATGTGAAAAATCCATAGGGACAGAAAGCTGACTTACAGTTGCCAGGGGTTGGGATGGGGGAATGGAGAGCAGCTGCTTAATGGCTGCTTTTGGAGTGACGACAATGTTTTGGAAGTTATTTACTTCCAAATAATTGCACAACATGGTGAATGGACTAAATGCCATTGAATTATTCAACTTGAAATGATCTATTTTTTATTATGTGAATTTCACCTTAATTAATACATATTTGCACTCAAGAAATCTGACTATAAGGGAATACTTGACAAATAAAACCTACTTGTTTATAGCACATACATAAACATTATTTAACTGATCTTAAGAAAATGTCTCTGAGGGTCTTGTTCTCTTCAGTGAAAGCAACAAACACTACGGTGGAATTGAGAACAAATCAAAAGATATTTCTCCTTTTCTTATGCTTCCATTTATTTTAAACTTTTGCTTGTTTTAAAGGCTAATAAAATTCAATTTTATTAAGCTGAGTTTTAGTTTAAGTAACTGATTACTTGCCCAAACTCTATTGTTTCAAAATGTAGAAAAATATGAATACAATGCATTTTAAAATGAAATACACAAGATATTTTAGTTATTTGTTTTCTTTTATGACATTTTAGATCTTTAAGCTTCATTTTTTTATAGCAATCACATGTTTTTCCTGAGGGCATTTTATGGGCTTCTCAGCCCTAGATTCATGTGAGCAGTATGCCCTGAGGCTTTCAAGTCAACAAAAATAACTGTCCTGAGTCCAGGGCAAGCAGAGAATCAGCATAGTGGCCCCATGGCAGCAACTCCACAGCCCTGGAGGGCAGGGGTGAACACAGTCACTGGAAAGAGGCCTATGTGAGATGTGTGGTTTTTCGTGGTACAGCTTTGACTGACAGTTAACAGTTGCACAGGTTTTAATGGAAACTTCTCTTGGGCTACTGGGAAATAACTTTCTCCAGAATGGGTTTGTGTAATGTGGACCCAGAGATATTGAACTTCTGGTATCTCAATATTTTAAGTGAACTTCTCAGAATTTCCTCTCCTCACTCTACAATGTAATCAACTCATTTAGCTTGATTTCTTACCACCAAAGTAGAGTTTTATGTGGAAACTAAAGAACTTTTGTACACCAAAAGCAACAGTCAGCAGAGTGAACAGACAACCCCCAGAGTAGGAGAAAATCTTCACAATCTACACATCCGACAAAGGAACTCATTCAGAATCTACAACAAACTCAAAGAAATTAGCAAGAAAAAACAAACAATCCCATCCAAAAGTGGGTTAAAGTCATGAATAGATAGTTCTCAGAAGATATACAGATGGCCAACAAACATATGAAAAAATGCTCAACATCACTAACGATCAGGGAAATGCAAATCAAAATCACAATTTGATACCACCTTACTCCTGAAAGAATGGCCATAGTCAAAAAATTTAAAAAAAAATAGATGTTGGCATGGATATGATGAGCAGGGAACGCTTTTCTTTTTTTTTTTTTTTTTTTGAGACGGAGTCTCACTCTGTTGCCCAGGCTGGAGTGCAGTGGCACGATCTCGGCTTTTGAGATCTGCAACCTCCGCCTCCCGGGTTCAAGCAATTCTCCTGCCTCAGCCTCCCAAGTAGCTGAGACTAAGGCACCTGCCATCACACCTGGCTAATTTTTGTAGAGACAGGGTTTCACCTTGTTGGCCAGGCTGGTCTTGAACTTCTGACCTCAGGTGATCCGCCCGCTTTGGCCTCCCAAAGTGCTGGGATTACAGGCGTGAGCTACTGTGCCTGGCAAACAGGGAACAATTCTACACTGCTGGTGGAAATGTAAACTAGTACAACCACTGTGGAAAACAATACAGAGGTTCCTTAAAGAATGAAAAGTAGGCTGGGTGTGCTGGCTCACACCTGTAATCCCAGCACTTTGGGAGGCTGAGGCGGGTAGATCACGAGGTCAGGAGTTTGAGACCAGCCTGACCAACATGGTGAAACCCCGTCTCTACTAAAAATACAAAAAAAAATTAGGCATGGTGGCATGCACCTGTAAGCCCAGCTACTTGGGAGGGTGAGGCAGGAAAATTGCTTGAACCCTGGAGGCGGAGGTTGCAGTGAGCCGAGATCACACCACTGCACTCCAGCCTGAGCAATAGAGAGCAACAGAGCAAGACTCAGTATCAAAAAAAAAAAAAAAAAGAAAGAACAAAAAGTAGAACTACCATTTGATCCAATAATCCCACTACTGGATATCTACTAAGAGGAAAAGAAGTCATTGTACGAGAAAGATACTTGCATATGCATGTTTATAGCAGCACAATTTGCAATTGCAAAAATGGGAATTGTCCATCAATTAACAAGTGGATAAAGAAACATATATGTGATGGACTACTACCCAGCCATAAAAGGGAATGAATTGATGGCATTCACTGCAACTGGGATGGGATTGGAGACTACTATTGTAAATGAAGTAATTTAGGAATGGAAAACCAAATATCGCATGCTCTCACTCATAAGTGGAAGCTAAACTGTAAGATGCAAAGGCAAAAGAATGATACAATAGACTTTGTGGACGCAGGGGGAAAGTGTGGGAAGGGGCGAGGGATAAAAGCATACAAATTGGCTTCAGTGTATACTTCTTGGGTGATGGGTACACCAAAATCTCACAAATAACTACCAAAGAACTTACTTGTGTAACCAAATATCACCTGTTCCCCAAAACCTATGGAAATGAAAAATTTTAAAATTAATAATAAAAAAAAAGCAGAGACATGGCCAGGAGCGGTGGCTCACGCCTGTAATCCCAGCACTTTGGGAGGCCGAAGCGGGCAGATCACGAAGTCAGGAGATCGAGACCATCCTGGCTAACATGGTGAAACACCGTCTCTACTAAAAATACAGAAAAATTAGCCGGGCATTGTGAGAGGCGCCTGTAGTCTCAGCTACTCAGGAGGCTGAGGCAGGAGAATGGCGTTAACCCGGGAGGCGGAGGTTGCAGTGAGGCGAGATCGTGCCACTGTACTCCAGCCTGGGCCACAGAGCGAGACTCCGCCTCAAAACAACAACAACAACAACAACAACAACAAAAACGTAATCTATCACATAAACAGAACCAATGACAAAAACGACATGATTATCTCAATAGATGCAGAAAAGGCTTTCAACAAAATTCAACACCCCTTCATGCTAAAAACTCTCAATAAACTAGGTATCAATAGAACGCATCTCAAAATAATAAGAGCTGTTTATGATAGGCCCACAGGCAATATCATACTGAATGGGCAAAAACTGGAAGCATTCCCTTTGAAAACCGGCACTCTCTCACCACTCCTATTCAACATAGTATTGGAAGTTCTGGCCAGGGCAATCAGGCAAGAGAAGGAAATAAAGCGTATTCAAATAGGAAAAGAGGAAGTCAAAGTGTCTCTGTTTGCAGATGACATGGTCGTATATTTAGAAAACCCCATCGTCTCAGCCCCAAATCTCCTTAAGCTGATAAGCAGCTTCAGCAAAGTCTCAGGATACAAAATCAATGTGCAAAAATCACAAGCATTCCTATACACCAATAACAGACAAACAGCCAAATCATGAATGAATTCACATTCACAACTGCTACAAAGAGAATAAAATACCTAGGAATACAACTTACAAGGGATGTGAAGACCTCTTCAAGGAGAACTATAAACCACTGCTCAAGGAAATAAGAGAGGACACAAACAAATGGAAAAACATTCCATGCTCATGGATAGGAAGAATCAATATCATGAAAATGTCCATACTGCCCAAAGTAATTTATAGATTCAATGCTATCCCCATCAAGCTCCCACTGACTTTCTTCACAGAATTGGAAAAAAACTACTTTAAACTTCATATGGAACCAAAATAGAGCCTGCATAGCCAAGGCAATCCTAAGCAAAAAGAACAAAGCTGGAGGCATCACGGTACCTGACTTCAAACTATACTACAAGGCTACAACAACCAAAACAGCATGGCAGTGGTACCAAAACAGAGATATAGACCAATAGAACAGGACAGAGGCCTCAGAAATCACACACATCTACAACCATCTGATCTTTGACAAACCTCACATAAACAAGCAATGGGGAAGGGATTCTGTCTTTAATAAGTGGTGTTGGGAAAACTGGCTAGCCATAGGCAGAAAACTGAAACTGGACCCCTTCCTTACACCTTGTACAAAAATTAACTCAAGATGGATTAAGCACTTAAACATAAGACCTAAAACCATAAAAATCCTAGAAGAAAACCTAGGCAGTGCCATTCAGGACCTAGGCATGGGCAAAGATTTTATGCCTAAAACACCAAAAGCATTGGCAACAAAAGCCAAAATTGACAAATGGGATCTAAGTAAACTGAAGAGCTCCTGCACAGCACAAGAAACTATCATCAGAGTGAACAGGCAACCTACAGAATGGGAGAAAATTTTTGCAATCTATCCATCTGACAAATGGCTAATATCCAGAATCTACAAAGAGCTTAAACAAATTTACAAGAAAAAAACAAACAACACCATCAAAAAGTGGGCAAAGGATATGAACAGACACGTCTAGAAAGAAGACATTTATGCATCTAATGAACATATGAAAAAAAGCTCATCATCACTGGACATTAGAGAAATGCAAATCAAAACCACAATGAGATACCATCTCACACCGGTTAGAATGGCTATCATTAAAAAGTCAGGAAGCAACAGATGCTAGAGAGGATGTGGAGAAATAGGAACACTTTTACACTGTTGGTGGGAGTGTAAATTAGTTCAACCATTGTGGAAGACAGTGTGGCAATTCCTCAAGGATCTAGAACTAGAAATACCATTTGACCCAGCAATCCCATTACTAGGTATATACCCCAAGGATTATAAATCATTCTAGTATACAGATACAGGCACATGTAAGATTATTGCAGCACTATTCACGATAACAAAGACTTGGAACCAACCCAAACGTCCATCAATGATAGGCTGGATAAAGAAAATGTGGACATATGCACCATGGAATACTATGCAGCCATAGAAAAGGATGAGTTCATGTCCTTTGCAGGGACATGGATGAAGCTGGAAACCATCATTCTCAGCAAACCAACGCAGGAACAGAAAACCAAGCACTGCATCTTCTCACTTGTAAGTAGGAGTTGAACAATGAGAACACATGGACACAGGGAGGGGAACATCACACATCAGGGCCTGTCGGGGGGTGGGGGGCAAGGGGAGGGATAGCATTAGGAGAAATACCTAATGTAGGTGACAGGTTGATGGATGCAGCAAACCACCATGGCACATGTATACCTATGTAACAAAACTGCACATTCTGTACATGTACCCCAGAACTTAAAGTATAAGAAAAAAAAATGTGTGTGTGTGTGTGTGTATATATATATGTATATATGTATGTATGTGTGTGTGTGTGTGTGTGTGTGTGTGTGTGTGTATAAAACCTTCCAAAAACAAAAAGAATGTACCAAGCATAGTTGATTTTACTGGTGCATTCTATAAAACAATTAATAAATAAACAATATCAATTCTTTACAATCTCCTCGGAAAATAAGAGCAGAGGAAACACTTCTTAACTAAGATTACCTTAATACCAAACCAGATAAATATACTACAAAAAATAAAATCTACACATTCTACAGATTAATATTTTCATGAACAGGCTTGCAAATATTTTTCACAAAATATTGTCAACTTTATCTAAAAAAGCATAAAAAGAATTATTCACCAAGACCAGGTGTAATTTATTTCAGGTATGCAAGGCAGTTTCAACATTTGAAATTCAATATATATTATTTACTACATTAATAGTCTAAAGAAGAAAAATCATTATTAGAAAAAAAAATAATGTAACTTCTATATAGGGGTGTGTGTGTGTGTACACGTATATATTTAAATATAAAATTATATAATATACATATATTGAGCACATATCTTTGGCATTATGTAAATATGTAACATTTATAAACATATAAATCTACAGATGTATAATAAAATTATCATGTATATATTTGTCTTATAAGTAAACTTTCATATGAAAATTTTAGTTTCAAGGGCTTGGGGCTTGTCTGATTAATACCCCAAAGCTGCATGGACGGGGGCAGACCAAGGCCCAGAATGTTCAGTATGTATCTACTCCTCTCCAGCTTTGAGTGGAGAGAGTTGAAGCAATTTACTGTTCTATTCACAGAATAACTTTATTAGAGGATTAACCAAAGAGCTTGTCTTATTTTATTTAGTTACTCTTATTTGTTCACACCCAATTCTCACTCCTATTTCCCATCTCCTCATATGAAATTAATCAAATGTGTCTCACACACATTTAAAATATACATAAACATATTTGTAAGATACATGTTATTATATCCTTAATTTACCTAAATGATTTTGTGTTATGTCTCCTTTTGTTTCTTACCATTTTAACATAATATTTTTTCAAGCACCAGCTATGTTGTTTGATGTTCTGCCTTAATGCATCTAATTGTTAAAAATATTTCAAGATACATGTTCACCACATTTTTACATATTCATCTCTTCAGAAGTGGAAAATTAGTATATCTCCAATTCCCTGCTCCTACACACAATAATGTGGTAAATGTCATTATTCGTCTCCATGTAGTCCTGCTGTAAAAATTTATCTGGAGTTTATAATTAGGAATGTGATGACTGGGTCGGAGAATTAGGCATACTTAAGTAATGGCTTCCAGAAAGGCTGTATCAATTTCACTCTACTACCAGTATGTTGTTTCTCTTTACAAAAACTCCCTATTATGATTTTTTTCTAATCTGTGGGGTGTAAAATGTCATTCATTTGTGATTTAGTTATAATTTATCTACAATAGCTTTAGCTTCCCTGTATAAACATATTTCCCCCTCAGATTTTCCCTTGTAAGCTGCTGACTTAGATGTTTTACACGTATTTCTGTGGGTTGACCTTTCTTCCTCTTGTTGACACACAGAAGTTCCTTATCTATTCTAAATATTAATTTCATATACATTTTAGATGCCCTAATTATTCATCTGTCTGTAAATATTATTTATGTTGGCATTTGTTGAATCTCCAGTTTCCGTGCAGTCAAATCCATCTCTCCTTTTTTTTTTGTCTTAGAGCTTATGTTTTTGCGTATTGCTTTAGAACACACTCGTCACTCCAAAGTCACAGTTATTATTTCATATTTTCATCTGTTAACTCTAGAATTTAATCTTTCAGACTTAGGTCTTTATTGATCTGGAGACCACTTTTGTGGCAGGGATCCAGTATTATTTTTTTCTATATGTATTGATCTAGTTTGTCTTCTAGATAGCCTATTGTTTTCTTTTTAAAACTGATTTATTGAGGTATGATTCTCATAGAAAAATCTGTACAATTAATGTATACATTTCAATGAGTTTTGATGATAGACACCCATGAAATCATTGCCGCCATCAAAGCCATAAACATATCTGCCACCCTCCAAAGTCTCCTCTCTCTTCCTTTATTATTATTAGTGTTTTTGTTGTTTGTAAGATCTCTTAAGATCTTCCCTTGTAGCAATTTTAAGTGTACAATACAGTATTGTTATCTATAATCACTATGCTGTATAGTAGATCTTCAGAACTTCTTTATCTTGCATAACTGAAACTTTGTACCTTTTGACAATTGCCTCCCATTTCCCTGCTCTCCACCCCCAGCCCCTTATAACCACCATTCTACTCTCTGCTTCTACAAGTTAGGCTATTTTAGATTCCACATATACATGAGATCATGTAGTATTTGTTTGTGTCTAGCTTATTTCACTTAACGTAATGCCCTCCCTCCATGTCTAGTCATATTGTTGCAAATGGCATGATTTCCTTCTTTGTTAAGGATGAATAATATTCTATGTATGTATATGCCACAATTTCCTTATCCAATATTCCTTCAGTGGACATTTAGGATGTTTCCATATCTTGGTTGTTTTGCATAATGCTGTAGTAAACATGGGTGTGCAGATAGGTTTTTGACATCCTGATTTCAGTTATTTTGAATGTATACCCAGAAGTGGGATTATTTAGCAGTTCTATTTTTAATTTTTAAGAATCTCCATACTATTTTTCATAATGGAGCTACCAAGTTACATTTTCACCAACAGTATATAAGAGTTCTCTTTTCTCCATGTTTCCCTCTCCAACACTTGTTATCTTTTGTTTTTCAAAAATAGTCATCTTAACAGGTGTGAGGCTTTCTTAATACATTTGTGCTGCTAAACGAAATGTCACAGACTGGATAATTTATAAAGAATAGAAATTTATTACTCATAGTTCCAGAGGGTGGGAAGTCCAAAATCAGCATGCCTTCAGCTTTGGTGTCTGGTGAGACCCTGGTCTTTCTGCTTCCAAAATGGCACTGTGTTGCTTCATCCTCCAGAGGGGATGGACACTGTGTCCTCACATGGCAAAATGGCTGAACGGGAATGAATACATTTTCTCAACACTTATAGAGACCCTAATCTTATACCTGAGAGCTCAACCCTCATGTCTTGATCACATCCTAAAGGTTCCACCTCTTAATACTATCACTTGGGTAATTAAGTTTCAACATATGAATTTTGGGGGTCACATTCAGACCACAGCAGAGGTGGTATCTCAACTTGTGGTTTTGTTTTGCATTTCCTTCATAATTAGTGATGTCGACCAGTTCTTTGTATATCTGCTAGTTCTTTGTATGTATTCTTTGGAGAAATATCTATTCAGGTCCTTTGCCTTTTTGTTAATGTGGTTATTTGTTTTTTCATTATTCAGTTGTTCTTTATATATTTTGTATATTAACCTCTTATCAGATATATGGTTTACAAGTATTGTCTCCAATTCCCTATATTACTTTTTCATTTTAGGGATTGTTTCTTTTGCTGTGCAGAAGTCGTTAAATTTCATGTAATTACACTTATTTTTGCTTCTGTTGCCTGTGCTTTTGGTGTTATAACCAAAAAGTCATTGCCAAAACCAATGTCAAGGAATCTTTTCCCTATGTTTTCTCCTGGGTGTTTTGTAATTTCATATTTTTAATACATTTTGAGTTGATTTTTGTATATGGTGTAAGATAAGGGACCAATTTTATTATTTTGTACATGGTAATCCAATTTTCCCAATACTGTTTATTGAAGAGACTATCCATTCCCCACTGAGTATTCTTAAGAGCCCTTGTCAAAAATGAGATGGCTATACATTTGTGGGTTAACTTCTCAGGTCTCTCCTCTGTTCCATTTTTCTGTGTGTCTGTTTTTATGTAAGTATCATACTGTTTTAATTACTATAGCTTTGTAGTATAATTTGAAATCAGAAAGTGTGATGCTTCCAGCTATGTTCTTATCCTCAAGATTGCTTTAGCTATTTGGGGGTCTTTTGTGGTTCCATACATATGTTAAGATAATTTTTTCTATTTCTGTGAAAAATGTCATTGGAATTTTGATAGATATTGCATTGAATCTGTAGATTCCTTTTGGCAGTATGGGCATCTTAAATACATTAATTATTCCAGTCCATGAACATGGGATATATTTTTCATTTATTTGTATTTGTTTTAATTTCTTTCAACAATGTTTTATACTAGTCAATGTACAGATCTTTCACCTCCTTGGCAAATTTACACCTAAGTATTTGTTCTTTTTGATGCTATTGTAAGTCGTTTTGTTTATTTTTTTCTGAAAAACTTATTGTCAGTGTATAGAAACACAGTTGATTTTTATACATTGATTTCGTTAATTGCTGTTTTACTGAGTTTATTAGTTCTAATAGTTTTTTTGGTAGATTTTTAGGTTTTTCAAAACATAATATTATATTATCTAAAAACAGGAACAATTTAATATCTTCCTTTTCAACTTAGATGTCTTTTATTTCTTTCTCTACCATAACTGTTCCGGTTAGTACTTCCCATACTATGTCAAATAGAAGCAGCAAGAGTGTGCTACTGTTCCTGATGTTAGAGGAAAAATTTTCAACTTTTCACCTTTGAGTATGATGTTAACTGTGGTATTATAATATATGGTTTTCGTTGTGTTAAGGTACATTCCTTCTATATCTAATATGTTGAAAGTTTTCATTATGAAAAGATGTTGAATTTTGCTAAATGCTTTTCTTTGCATCTATTGAGATTTTTATCACTCGTTCTGTTAATGTGGTGTATAACATTTATAGATTTGTGTATGTTGAATCATCCTTACAATCCAGAGATAAATTCCACTTGATTATGGTATATAATCCTTTTAATGTGTCATTGAATTCAGTTTGCTAGTATATTGTTGAGGACTGTTACCTCTATGTTCATCAGGGATATTGGCCTGTAATTTTCTTTTCTAGTAGAATTCTTTTCTGTCATTGATATCAAGGCAATGCTGGACTCATAGAATGAGTTTGGAAGTGTTTCCTCCCCTTTAACTTTTTGGAGGAGTTTGAAAAGGATTGCTGTTAGTCCGTCTTTAAATATTTGGTAGAGTTCAACAGTGAAGCTATGTATTCCTAAGTTTTCTTTTGTGTGAGTTTTTGACTTAAAGTGTATTTTGTCTGATACAAGAATACCCAATCCTGTTGTCTTTTCATTGCAGAAATATCTTTTTCCATCCCATTTTCAGCCTATGTGTGTCCATAAAGTGTGTTCCTTGTAGGCAGTGTATAGCTGGATTTTTTTTTATCCATTCGGCTACCCTATATATTTTAATGGGAGCAGTTAACCCATTTACATTTAAAGTAAATATTGACAGGTAAGGACCTATTATTGACATTTTGTTAATTATTTACTGACTGTTCTGTAATTTCTTTCCTCCCTTCTTTCTCTCTTCCTGTCTTATTTTGTGATTTGATGATTTTTGTAGTGGTATGCTTTGATTCCTTTATATCTTTTGTGTATCGACTACAGGTTTGTCTTTTGTAATTATCATGAGTCTTATGTAAAACAAACCATGAAAGACCCCAAAATAGCTAAAACAATCTTTTTCAGGAAGAACAAAGCTGGAAGCATCACACTTCCTGATTTCAAATTGTATTACGAAGCTATAGTAATTAAAACACCATGCTACTGGCATAAAAAACAGACAAATAGAACAATGGAATAGAATACAGACATGAGAAATTAACCCATACATGTATGGTCAGCTAATTTTTGACAAGGGCTCCAAGAATACACAATGGGGAAAGGGAAGTCTCTTCAATAAATGGTATTGGGAATATTGGATCACACAAAACAATCTGTTTTAAGTTAATAACAACTTGATTTCAATCACATACAAAAATTACCTGTTCACTCCCATGTGCTTTTTCTTATTAGAGTCACAATTTACATCTTTTCTATTTATATCTATTAGCAAATTATTTTAACTATAGTTATTTTTAATACTTTTGTATTTTAACTTTTATATTAGAGTTCAATATGATTTACATATCACCATTACGGTATTCTGATTTTGAAAATGAACTTATCTCTACCAGTGAGTTTTATACCTTCATATATTTTCACGTTGCTGATTAGTGTCTTTCAATTTCATTTTGAAGAAATCCCTTTTGCGTTTCTTATAGGGCAGTTCTAGTGGTTATAAATTTCCCAGCTTTTACCTTTCTGGGAAAGTCTTTGTTCTTCATTTCTGGAGAACAGCTTTGACAGGTATAGTATTCTTGGTTAGCACATTTTTTTCTTTGGCACTTTGAATATATTATCCCACTCTCTCCTGGTCTGTAAGAGTTCTGATGAGAAATCTACTGATAGCCTTTTGAAGGTAACCTTGTATGTAACAAGTTGCTTTTCTCTTGCTGCTTTCAAAATTCTTTGTTTTAGAATTTGACAATTTGATCATAATGCTTTTCTATGAAGACCTCTTTTTACTCAACCTCTTTAGAATCCTTTGGGCTTCCTGGATCTGTATGTTTGTTTCACTCTACAGGGTTGGAAAGTTTTCTGTCATTATATCATTAAGAAAGCTTTCTTCCCCTTTATTTTTCTCTACTACTTCTTAAACACCAGTGTTTATATGGGTTCACTTGATAGTGTCCTGTAAGTCCCATAGGATTTTAAAAACCGTTTTTTATTATTTTTTTGTGTGCTTGTTCCTCTACTGGATAATTTCAAATAATCTGTCTTTGAGTTCTTTGATGTTATTCTGCTTGATCAAGTTTGCTGTTGAAACTCTCCATTAAATTTTTCAGTTAAGTCATTGTATTCTTTAGCTCCATAATTTTTGTTTGGTTCTTTCTTTTGGTTTCTTATGGTTGAATGTCTCATTTTATTAATATATTTTTAAAAATTTAATTTAGTAGTTTATCTATACTCCCTTGTAGCTCACTGAGCTTTAAGATGGCTATTTTGAATTCTTTGTCAGCTAATTTGTAAGTCTTAATTTCTTTGGGGTCAGCCACTAGAGCTGTATTTTGTTCCTTTGGTGATGTCATATTTTCTTGAATCTTCATGTTCTTGAATTTTTGAATTTTTTTTTTGATTATTCATTCTCTTGAATTTTTAAAAAGATGTCTTAAAATTTGAAGAAGTAGTCACCTTCTCCAGTATTTACTGACTGGCTTTGGGCCAGAAGGATCTTCACCAGTGAACCGGGTTAGAGATTCTGGGAGTCTCTCAGAACTTTTCTATGGATGCACCTGCTCCATTCTTCTTATTCCTTATTAAGAAAGAAATCTTAGGATTGTGTGCCTTCTCTCTATCCAACAAAACCAGGCCTGGTACTGATAGCATTCAATTTATATTCCCTAAGGCAATGCCCTGAAGTACTGAACGTTGTATACCTTCTCCCTCACCAGTAGTGTCAAGCCAGATGCTAATATTTGTACATGTTGAGATCTGTGTGCTATCTGAAGGAGCTTGTGCAGGCCATGCACAGGGATGTACAAGGTGCTTTCCATAGGAAAGGGTGGCACAGGGTGCTGGGGAAGTTCATCAGTTGGTTGTGGGGGTCCTCAGGCAAGTCATCCTGTGGGGTTCAGTGGTGGGTCTCTTGGTGGAGTCTATGAGCTGATTAGTAGAGACTGTGACTGGCTGTAGAGAATTGGACACCAGTTGTTGTGCACTCTCTTCTCCCTGCTCCTAGGCTTATTCCTTCAGTGCTCTGGGTGAAGTGAGACAGAAAGGACCTCCCAGCTAGCTAACATTTCACAAGACCGCAAAAATTAGGCACACACATCACTCACTTTCCCTAGTAGTAGAAATTGCAGGCCAATCAGGCCTCTGTTGATACCAAGTTGTGCCACCTTGAGGGAGGGGTGACATTGGTAAAGTGAAACTACTTATCCTCTTTAATATTTTTACTCTTGGGTTTTTTGTTCCACAGTAGGGCTGGAAACTCAGCCAGATTCTGGGGCTCCCACAAAAATATTCATGTCCATGGGTGCTTGCCAATATTGGTGTTTCTGTGGAAATGAGAGCCAAAACCTCCTATTCTGCCATCTTGCTGATACCATTTCTGCCCTTTTTCCTCTCAATTTGTAGAGTTGGCTTTGACATTTATCAAGTTAATATAAATAAACTGGTATGTTTCTGAGCAATATATGGTATTCCAATTGACTTCTTTTCCTCTCCCTAAGGAATATAAGTTTCTGTTTGTTTAAACTTATGGTTTTGGCCAGGCACGGTGGCTCATTCCTGTAATCCCAGCACTTTGGGAGGCTGGGGCAGGCGGATCTCTTGAGGTCAGGAGTTTGAGACCAAACTGGCCAACATGGCAAAACCCCATCTCTACCAAAAATACAAAAATTAGTCAGGTTTGGTAGTGCACGCCTGTAATGCCAGCTACTCAGAAGGCTGAGGCACAAGAATCGCTTGAACCTGGGAGGTGGAAGTTGCAGTAAGCCGACATCATGCCACTTCACTCCAGCCTGGGTGACAGAGTGAGACCCTGTCTCAAAAAAAAAATAAATAAACATATGGTTTTATAACATATTTTAATATCTGCTATGATACACCAACCTCACCCACTTTCGATCGTATTCTTCAAAATTTCAAAATTTACATGGCAATTCAGTCTTATTTTTCCAAATGTATTTTTAAAATGTTTGTTGAAATTCTTCAAAGCATTCTTTTCTTACATATTTTGAAATATACTTGTCAAAGGTGTAAAAGTTTCTACTGGCATTTTATTTTAAACTGTACTGAATTTTTAGACTAAATTTTGGGGAAATTGACATTTTTATCATATTGAGTCACCTCATTCATGCATGTAACAGATCTCTTCACTTATTTATACCTATTATTTGTTTTTCTATTTTTTTTTTACAATTTTGTCAAGAACGGTCTTAAGCATTCTTTTTTAGGTTAATTCTTAAATACTTTTATCACCTTGTGACTGTGTGAGTCAATACTCCTTAATAAACTCCCTTTGATATATGCATCTATCTTATTAGTCCTGTCCCTCTAGAGAACCCGAATACACCTAGTAATGGATATTTACAAACAAATAAGCAAAAAGCTGCTGCAAAATTTTGCATAATAGAACTCTTGAAAGCTTTCTCTTTGAAATCAAGAAAAGACAAATATGCCTACTGATGCAGTTTGGATGTTTGACATCTCAACAGGTCTCATGTTGAAATTTGACCCCCAATGCTAAAGGTGGGGCCTGATGGGAGGTATTTGGATTGTGGGCTTGGAGGAAGGAAGTCCCAGTCTCAAACCCTCAAAAGTAGGGAAGCTGACAGTGCAGCCTTCAGTCTGTGGCTGAAGGCCCAAGTGCCCCTGGCAAACCACTGGTGTGGGTCCAGGAGTCCAAAAGCTGCAGAACTTGGAGACTAATGTTCAAGGGCAGGAAGCATCCAGCACAGGAGAAAGATGGAGGCCAGAAGACTTAGCCAGTCTAGTCCTTCCACATTCCTCTGCCTGCTTTTATCCTAGCCACATTGGCAGCTGATTAAATGGTGCCCACCCAGATTGATGGTTGGTCTGCCTCTCCCAGTCACTGACTCAAATGTTAATCTCTCGTTTGGCAACATTCTCACAGACACGCTCAGGAACAATATTTTGAATCCTTCAATCCAATCAAGTTGACACTCAGTATTAACCATCACACTAGGTTAAAGAGATTCTCTTCTATTCTTAGTCAGCCATGAGTATTATCATGCCTGGATGGTGAATTTTCTTCAGAGCCTTTTTCTTCACTTAGGTAGAAGATCAAATGCTATTTCTCTTTTAATCTGCTAATACGGTGAATTACATTAATTGATTTCTTAAGTGAAAACAATCTTGCATTTTTGGGATTAAACCCAACTTAGATACAATATATTATCTTTTTCATATATTAATGGATCTATTTTGCTAATATTTTATGGATTTCATATCTATTATGTGTTACATAAGATGCCATTATTTTATATGTCACTATGAAAGAACAAAAAACTGTCAATGAAACTATGACATAACACTTTAAAAAAAATTATCAGTCAAGGTCCAACAAGTGTAGCAGTATCCACAGGTGTTTTATTAATATATAATATATACACATATATATATACGATTAATGTTTCTCTATGATTTATTACAAGGAATTGGCTTACACAATTGATATATAAGCTGGCTAAGGAAGTTCACAGTCAGTAGTGCAGGCTGTCAGGAAGAGAACATCATGGGCACAGGGTAAAGTTACTCTCCACAAGTGACAGTTTCTTCTCTCTCACTTACACACACACCTCCGACTAGTTTTCTGGCCTTCTAGTGGATTGAATCATGCCTTCCCAGGTTATGGAGGATAGTCTCCCTTAGTTAACCACTTTGATTATGGACTTTCATGACATCTGTAAACTCACAGCAGTGCCTAGATTTGTATTTGATTAAATAACTGTGATTTACAGCCTAGCCAAATTGACACATTGACAAAACCTTTTCAATTTTTTTGCTAATAAAATTGCATCTTATTTCTTTTTGATTATTGTTAATGAAGAGGTATGTTCATTTTTGTAAGATGATTTTGTATCTGAATCATTTTCTAAATTCTTATATTCTGATAGTTGGTCATGGAGTTAGTTTGGCGTTCTCTGTTGATGATGATATATAATCTGAAAATAATTCCATTTGATCATATTATCTGCAAATAAGTCTAGTTAACAATCTTCATTGTATCTCTTATCTTATGGCATTGACCAGTACATCCAGTGATATGTTAATTAGTGGCATTCATATCAAGTGGCCTTGATCATTCTCTGATACTGGTGGGACTAAGTCTAAAATTCCACTATAAACAGGATGTTTGCTTTATTATAAATCCTTTAAGGATGTTTCCTTCCATTCCTTTTTTTTTATGTTTTTAAAAATTATAACTAGGTTTTGAACTTTATGAAACATTTCTTTGGTGCCAATTGAGAAAACCATGATAGCAACCCACTAGTGTGTGAATTATACTTATTGATTTGTTAATGTTAACTATACTTTTAGGGTTTTTCTATAATAAACCTTAACCTATGTATTATATTTTTTCTATGCTATTTCAGTTGGTTAACACATTTAAAAAAAATAATTCATATCTATGTTATGAGTAACATGGGGTTATAATTTTCTTTTCTAGCCTTATTTGATTTTGAAATTAAAGTTATTGTGACTTCATAAAATGTTTTAGATAACTTTTCTTCCTTTTGTACTTCCTAGAATTATTTTTCTAAGACAGGAGTTATCTGTCCCTTCAAAGTTGGCAGCACTTCCTTGTAAAATGTTTTGGTCCAGGACCTTTTTGTAGTTCCACTGTAATGTGTCATATGATAAATAGGAAATTATCCTTCTTTTACAGTGAATTTTTAATAAATATAAACCCAAATATTTGATGTTACAAAGGGAATAAGATACCATTTAGCTATAGACTAATAATTAAGATGATAATTATTACATTCCATATACTTTTGAGTCGGTCTATCTAATAGGTTATACAGAAATATGTACAAGAGACAGCACCAGTGTGTTTCATCTTAAGCTCTCTCACAATCTCTGCACTTTTTATCCCTTAGGACATACGGGACGGTTATTAAAGTCTCTGTGCTTCATCAGTCTTTCCTTCCTGTTGCTGCACATCATTTTCCACATCACGTTGGTGAGCCTTGAAGCTCAACATCGTATTGCACCTGGCTACAACTGTGAGTATTATGGTGTTTTCTTTTATTGTTTTCTTTTATTTCTTTTATATACGTGCATAATAAAGCTGTGTGTCATCGCACACATAGAAATCTATGCAATAATTAAATTATAAAATTCATGGAAATTTTTGGTCTTTGGCAATGCAGTGTAAATATATATAAAGAAGCTTTGCCATGGAAGATTGGATCATGAGATTAAGTTTATGAATGACTCTTCAGCATGTATTGGAGATCACCTCCTATCTGCATGTAAGACATTTTCATTGAGCTTAACCTAAAATTCAAGAGTTACAGACAGCCCTTGGAGCTTTCATTACAGCGAGTAAAAAAAAAAAAAGGTACAATTTCTAACATGATGAATAGAATATAAAAGTTGAATAATATTATATGAAATTACATGACTATGACATTAATCCTATTACAAAGAACAATGTTAAAATTTCTCATGTTTTTATGGGAAAAATGTAATGACACATGTAGTTTCTTTTCTGAATTGGAAGGTTTTTTTTATTAGTATTTATAGGGAAACAGTATCTCTTAAGCCCCTTATATTTTGAAGTTATGATCTGAAAGAGTCAGTATACATGTTTTATCTAGATAGTATTATCATTTGAAAATTTACCTGTCATTGAATAAATCATACTTCAGTTTTTGTAGGATGTGTGATTGTTACTTGAAAAAACAGAAGCAGTCAAGTAGGTGAAAGCAATTCATATGTTTTCAGTTAAACTAAAGAAACCCTGAGATATTTGAAATAGACTGTAATAACAGTTTTAACTTGTCAGTTTTTCTTTGAGGAACCCATTTGTGGGTTTGAAATTTCCTGGCCTTTCAGAAGCACAAGTACAAGCAAACTTGCTTTTCCCTGTAAAGTAAAAAGGAAATCAAAATTCTTCGTGGATCAAACAGTATTAATTTAAATACAGTGAGGAATCCTTTAGTAAAATTTATATACATAAACTATTATCCCTCACTGCATAACTGTTAGATAGAGAGCTAAAGTTAGTGTTCAATCCAGCCATTTTATTGATTTCAGAGTTCCTTTGATAACAATGCCTATCAAGACGATTTTTTAAGATCTATTTTTAAGGTATGTTGTTTTCTAAAAATTGAAATATAATTCACACACCATAAAATTCACCCATTTAAAATATACAGTTCAGCAGTTTTTTTGTTGTTTTTGTTTTTGTTTTTTTTTTGAGATGGAGTCTCACTCTGTCACCCAGGCTGGAGTGCAGTGGCACAATCTCAGCTCACTGCAAGCTCTGCCTCCCGGGTTCACACCATTCTCCTGCCTCAGCCTCCTGAGTAGCTGGGACTACAGGTGCCTGCCACCATGCCCAGCTATTTATTTTATTTTATTTTTTGTGTTTTTTAGTAGAGACACTGTTTCACCGTGTTAGCCAGTATGGTCTCGATCTCCTGACCTCGTGATCCGCCTGCCTCGGCCTCCCAAAGTGCTGGGATTACAGGCGTGAGCCACCACACCTGGCCACAGTTCAGCAGTTTTTAGTATATTCAAAGGTTGTGCAGCTATCACCACTGTCTAATTCCAAAGCACTATCATCACCCCCAAAGGAAACTCCATGCCCATGAATAATTATTTCTCATTCCCTTCCCAGCCATCTCTAGGCAACCACTAACCTACTTTCTGTCTGTATTAGATTTGTCTATTCAGGACATTTTGTCTATATGCAATTATACAGTCTATGACTTTTGTATATGACTTCCTTAATTTAGCATAAAGTTTTCAAGATTTGTCAATGTTGTAGCATGTATCAATACTTTAACCCTTTTCTTGGCTGTATAATATTCAATTGTTAAAATGCGATTTTAATGTTTGATTAAAAACCACATGTTATCCCATTATTAAAATCTTGATGAAACACAGTGTTTAAATAAGGGTACTTTGGTTATGTTATCTTGATAAAGAGCATTTATTATATTTCACCAGGTTCACATCTTTTGGGACTTAATAGAAATGTTAGCAACAATAATGTTAGTAGTAGTATTATCTTATATGATACAGTGCTTATTAACCAAAAATCATTTGGATATTTCTTAATAAGGTACTCTCAGGACCATAAGGAAGAATCTTATAACTAAAGGTGTTATCCAGATAAAAGGCTTTTTCAAAAATGATGAGTTCTTCATCATTAGAAATATTTCATTATAGGATGCATCACAACTTATCAGATTTTTAAATTTTGAGTTTATATATATATATATATATGTAACTTATTCATGTCTGCAAAAAAATTTAGGTTGCTGAGTAATATAGGAAGGTGGCTGGAGGGTGGAAGTGAAATTTATGATCTCTTCTGACTCACAAGAGTCTAAGTGTTTCTAGTTCAAATTGATGATTTTCCATAATTCTACAAATGTCAAAATAAAAATATGATATGAAATCCTAAAGCAACATTCTTTTCTCTGCATTTATAACTGTAGTTACTCTGTGTTCTCCTCCACAGAGTATAGACAGACAGGCAAGCTTACATACACACACACACACACACACACACACACACACACATATTTGTTCTTGCTTTGGCTCCTTCTTCCCAGGCAAAAAGTCACAATACCTGGACACTTCAGGTGGGACCTCTACTAGTACCATGAAGAAGGGAGTGGTGAAGGGAGGTGATGGTGAAGGGAGGTAGTCATCTCAAGTGTAGTCACAGCTGGCCTCTTGACCTGCCTCTTTCCAGGCCTTCCTTGCCCAACCAGTATTAAGGAGCTAGGTCTGCCTCTCCTAACCTCGCTCCTAAATATATGGGCTTTGATATTTCCAAGTCTCTGTCAAAGACAGTTTTTATTCATACACAAATGCCCTCTGCAGTCATCCTATACTGCAATACAGTTTGAACATGTCAGCATCTAACATAACATCTTCCCTTTCCTTTTTTTTGCTATCCCCAGATGAAAGCTCTACTCTGTTATGAGTCAATTTAATAGAAGTCATAACAGTAAACTTTATTTCCATAAAGTTAAATTCCAATTTGAAGTTTATTTCTGCAAAAGGTTATAGTTCCAATTTCAAGTTCCAGTATTTTTGATGAAGTAACCAATAGAGAAGGGATATGTGAAAGATTGAGTGAAAAAAGAAAAACTTGAGTGTTTTACTTCCAGCCATAGGAAACTTGAAGGTGGGTTTATAGAAATCATAAATTTCTTCTGAAAAACTAGTGATGCCTGTAATCGCATTGGCTCATCAGGTGTTGTAGATTTTTTTGGTTTAGTTTTATGTGTAGCATTTAAAATTAATACATTCTTGAAAAAGGATAAAAGAGAAGAACAAACAAACTTCAGAGCTTTGCAAACTAATTTAGTCCAAGATTGACACAGACCAGGTTTTCAGCCCAGAGCACTTTTTAATGATCAAGTTATATAAACTGAAAATACTGTTAGTGTGGGTAATGGAAACACTGACTTTTAATTTAGAGTTGACTTCACTTCACTAATGTTATTGTTTCTCAAGCATTTAGAGTTATGATTATACCATCAGAGATGTAAACACAACTCAGTCATTTCGATATCCCAAATTTGAAGTTTATCCTTTTTTGGCATCTGCATAGATAACATAGCAAAAGTTCAAATAAAAAGACAAAACCTGTCTTGGTCATCAGTGTTGTACATTTTGAATGTTTTTTGTATGTTCAAGACATTGGTAAATTAAAATTAAAACCCAGACAAGTCGATCATATTCAAGTAGTATTCAAATTCAAGACCACCAAGCGCTCATTTATAGGTGTTAAATTTTGTTTTCCTAACAACTTCTTTCCCCCATTTAAAATGCATACCCTCACCCTCATTATCGCAAAAGGTCCCGGCATCTCTTAGGAATCTGACATAAGTTTTGGTGGGACAACAGTAGCATTTATAAATATTGAGTCATTGAAAGTTCTCGTTCCTCCAGAGTCCTGTGAATATTAACTGGCAGTAATAAAGATTTTTTCAAACCACCCTATTTAGATTTTGACTAGTTGGCAGGTCTGTTAAAGGTGCCGTTGTGCAGAGCTGAAACTTAACAACACTCCCTTCTGCCTTTTTTTTTTCCCCTCATTTCCAGAACAGTGTTCTTATAGGTAAGTGAGGAGTCCATGGGGGCAGGGGACACCTATGTAAATTTTGCTCAAACATATGTTGTGCCGCTTACTAAAATATTTTCATTCCACCAAAACTATGCTACTTAAATAAATGTAAACCCGGTTTCAATTATGTCATTACAGATTACATAGACGTAGTTTGTTTGACTCCGTGTTAGATGTGTGGCGATGTTAGTGAAATTTGAAGGCCAGTCTGGATTCTTGTGCTGTGCTTAAAGCATGCTATTCATTGAAAGAAACTTTTGAGTTAGAAACTATATAGGGAAAATTTGTGATGATAATATCTCCTGTTTATAGAGCATCTATGAACCATGAGACCCTAGGGATTATTCTATTCCTTTTTCAATTAATGACTCCTTCCTTTCTTGTTCCAGGTGAGCTTTGCTGTTCTTTAAGTTAGGCACTCTCTGTATCCAAGCATTGTCCTATTCATTCTCTAAACAAGTCCTCAGGGTGGACAGGGCTGTGCAGCTGGACCCCTGTGCTCTGTGTGCAGGCCCCAGCCTGAGGAGGAGCTGAGCAGGAGATTCCTTCGTCAGGCTCCATCCAGCGGGAAGCAGCGAAATCCTCTGATTTACATCAAGAGGCTGGTCTCCTGGCCAAACCTTGCCACGGAGGGCTATGCCTTTGTGTAGTCTCTTTTCTCCAAGAGGGTGCCCTTTTTCTGTATAAACGCAGTGCCCAACCTGCAGATAGTGCTGAGGTAGGGATTGCAATGAAGAAACGGGCTCTAGAGGGCAAATGAGTTGCATGAAACCATTGCATGTCTCAGCTGGAGTCTGAGCACGGATCTGTCTGGCTTTCCATTCTTCCCCCATCTTTACGGAGCTCTTTATTCATCGTGTGTGTAAGATTGTTTCCTCCACTGTGGCTCCTAGGACTTTGGATAAGTCTATTTTCAAAGGGCTAAAATTAGCGTTTCTGATACTTAGTCCATGACTTTCCCTTGCTTGGATATTTGTCCTTATAATTAACTGAATATTTTCTTTGCTTCCTTCAATGGCAGCATTCCTGGTTGGATTCAGCTTCCCCCAAAGGTTAGCCCCCTCAGATGCATTGCTCTTTCCCCCTGTGGGAGGAGGGGCATCTAGAGTTTCATCTTTTCTCTTTTTACAAGCACATGAAACTTGGTCCAGAAGCCCACCAACCAAGAAATTAGGATGGGCCTCAGTAATGTTTTTTCCTGACATGCTTCTATCCTTGAAACACACAAGGCTCCCAGTGCCAAGAATCAAGGTATCAAGCGTCGGCCTACGACAAGAAGACTGAGGGACAGACCCAGCCTGGCAGTTTATCCTCCCATCCCGACGACTGTGGGGAGGACTACAGAGTGAGCCACTGCTGTGTATACTCTGCTTGCCAGTACAAGTGCTGACTCATCCCTTGGCACACAAAGCTGTAAACTTCACCCCATGCTTCGTTAGTTGTGCTAATTGGAGATGGACCCTAGATCTGCAGAATCACCTGGTGGATCCATCCTCATACAAATAATTCCATTCTCACACAAATGAAATTCTTGATGTTAATTTTTCATATTTGAGACAGTACCCTGGAGAAAAGAGCTAATAAGTACGAAATGGGAGACAAAATATATAAAAGCAAACTCACACCCTGCATGTTCTGAGTCATTTTTTGAAACCACTCTTGGCTGCCTGCTTTCTTCTGATAGCTGATCAGTGAGGAGGCTTGGGTTCCTCACCTTGCCCCGTCCCCTTCTCTTTCCATTCCCTAACTCATTCAGGCACAACACACAGCCTTCTTCTCTCCTCGGGCCAGCTTCCTGAAAGCAGATGTTGCCGCTCAATACAACAATTTAAAAAACTGGTCCAAGCTATATCTTTACTTCTGGCCACCTGTGCATCAAAAGATTAGGAATCCATTGTCTAATTTATCTGAAAAGTATGTGGATCATATATATACCTTCTGATCATGTATAGGAGAACTTTGCCTTAAGTGCTGTTTTCTTCCACCCCTGGTGATTGAGGCACTGCCTCACGGAGACATATGCCGACCTAGATGGAGACTGCTGCTCTCCATAGTGAGCAAAGACACATTTATGATCAGTAGATTCTGGATGGAAGCATTGCTGAAAGAGAACTTTTGTAGCCCAATATCTGATGGAGTCAACGCTCTTGGAGTAATGAATACACATTGTTTTTACTGCCAAAAGCTAGACACAGGCACGAAGGCGAGCTGAGTGGTAGCACTGCATGACACCCACCCGTATGAACAACCCTTAGGCCAATGCCGTGTTGATATTTTGATTCACCTTTAGTAATAGATATGGATGCTCACTTTATGCAGCAGTTTTCAAATAGAATATCTCATTTTATCCTGACAAATATTTTTCATGACAATTTTTATGCTATTTAATATATGAGAAAATTTAGGATCTTGGGTGACTGTGAGCTAGTTGCATATCGTATTACTGGTGGGGAAAGTGAGTCCCAGTGTGCCTCAGTTTCCTCAACTGTCAAAGGAAGATAACAGCTATCATCTCATAGGTTTTTGTGAGGTTCGAGTTAATATAGGCCATGCCCTTGGGACTGTGCTTGACCCATTGTAAGTGGTCAAATAGTACAAGCTGTTGTTCATGTTGTTGCTGTTATTAGAGAAGTCCTAATTCTTGCCCAAGGTCATACACTGCTACAAGGTAATAGAGGCAACTCCAAACCAAATCCTGTCTCCAAATTACGCACAGTCACATGGATGAAATTTGGAAATTACAGAACTTGCATGGTACCAAATCATTCTCTATGATAGTCTTTTTCAGTTTCTTGCCAATGCTGTTATATTGGGGTTTGTACCTACTCTACTCCATGTGGTTAGAATCCCAAATAAATGGGCTAAATGGCACTGGATGGAAGGCAGCATCAGTGATGTGTGTCTTTAGTGACCCTGAGTTTTTCTTCCAGAATTTTTCACCTTCTTAGCAACCTCTCCACCGCAGTCTCTCACTCCACCTGCCCCACAGCTGCAGCCTTGGGCCTGGCCTGGCCTTCCGAATATTTTATGGCCCTCTTCTCATTCCGGCACCTACCTGAAAGCTTGTCATCTGCTCCCATGACCTGCAGCTCAGAGGAATAGATAATAAATATATTATTCACTATTTATTACCTTTCCTACATTGTAGAACTTTAGAAGAAAGAGGAACATGATGGAAGAGTTAGGAGGAAAATGAACTAACATTTTCATGTAAACTAAACTAACACTCTGCTGCTATTATCTCTCTCTCTCTTTTTTTTTTTTTTTTTTTGAGGCGGAGTCTCGCTCTGTCACCCAGGCTGGGTGTATTTTTAGTAGAGATAGGGTTTCACCATGTTGGCCAGGCTGATCTCAAACTCTTGACCTCAAGTGATCTACCCACCTCGGCCTCCCAAAGTGCTGGGATCACAGGTGTGAGCCACCGCACCCAGCTGCCATTGTTATCTAATTCTTACCATATCTCTTAAAAGTGTTGGCTTTCACTATCGTATTACTGGTAGGGAAAGTGAGTCCCAGAGGCAAAAAGTGCCTCGCCTTAGGCTGCTCATTAGTGAGTAACAGAGCCAGAATTAAATTTAGGTCTCCTGGACTACACAGTCTGTACTCTTTCCAGTACACCCTGCACCTTCATACATGTGCTGGGGAAAATTTTATGCAGAATTGGACTTTGGTTAATTAGATTTTGAGGAATAGATATGATTAGGATACATAAATTTTGGAGGCTGTGCTGGGTGAGAGGATAGTTAATCTAATATACTAACTCTGGTTAAAGTATGAATGGCCGGAAGTGACTGTATATGCTTGACTTGGTAAATGATATTGGCCTTTAGGAATATCTTCACCCCTACGAGTGCATCATGGGGACAGTCGGGACTGCATGGCTGAGGAGCTGGGTGTGCATTCATCATTGGGGATATGTTTTCCCAGCCTCCTTGAACCCACCGTCCCTACCACCTCCTCCAAGTGGGTCCTGTCACAGCCTTGTGTCAACTTGTTAATAACCAAGGTCTCCTTGTCTAAGATGGTTTTTATCTGTATTTTTAAAGCCTGAGGAAATTGGAGATGTTTTTCCTAAAGATAGAAATAAAACAGTAAATAACAAGAATGTACTGGATGACTCTTGGTGTTCAGAAATTTACTTCCCTGAAGTGTGTGTCGCCCTGAGATTCTAGATCCTGAGGCTGTCGCCAGAATTACACATAGGTAGTCTAATCCATTCTCTACACAGCAGTCTTTCAAAATTTTGAAGATGGCTTTGATGCCACATCAGTATTTTCCCAGATGCCTCTTGAGTCCCTTATCCTCTGCTGTTTGCCAAGCTTGTTGGTCAATGTTCCATGGCTGAGTGGTGAGATAGCATCAGTGTCTGGTCATGGGGAGTCTCCAGGGCCTGATTAATGCCAAGCATCAAGGGGCAGTGACTTTCCTTGTTCTGGTAACTGTCCTTCCCATCGGTGGAAATTGCCGTATTGTGGATTAATGTAGAGCTTTTCTGACCTGAAACATAGATCTGTTTCTTGTGAAACCCTATTTATGTTTCTCTAAAAGCAGATATGCTCCCATCTTTGATTTGGGATTTTGATTCTGCCCATACACAGAGCTTCCTTCCCTACCTTATATCACCTTTATCTCATCCCGTAATAGGGCAAAATTTCTAGAGTTCCTGGCATGGATCAAGTACTCTAACAAGCCTTCCTTTCCTTCCTCTTTCTCCTGACTCACCATATCTCACACCCAGCTGTGTGTGTGTGTGTGTGTGTGTGTGTGTGTGTGTGTGTGTGTGAAACATCTTTTTTGTTCTAAGTTTTGCTCTAAATCAGTAGATAACATCTTCCATGTATAATTTCCCACTATGTTCCAGGCATATTTATAATGTCTTGATTCTGCATTATAGTCCTGCTAGTCCTTGATATTTTACTCATTTGCAGATAAAGAGACTTAGCAAAAACAGAAGAGTTAAGTTGTGAAAAAAAGGAAGAAATGTAGTGATAGCATCCAGGGTCACCCATGGAGGGTGCCGGGGCCCTGGGCACCCGTGTGCATGCAGGGCAATGGGCTCATCTAGACGGGCGAAGAGCTGCAGGAAAGCTGTATTTCTGTACTTCTCCCTACCCCATGGTTCTCATCTCCTCCTTCCCGTTGCCAATTCCAATAAGCTTTCTATTGCCTGGCCATGCCTTTGCCCATGTTATTTCCCTGGAAGAATGTCCTTACGTACTCTGCCAGTCCTCTGCCAGGTCCATTCTTCAATACTGGCCACTTCCTCCAGATAACCCGAGTTAATACCCCCAGGTAGAGGGGGTCAGATGTCTTTGGGCTCCCAAATACCCAGAGTATCAGTCATTAAACTTTTAATGTTGAGTGATAATCACTGATTTTATATGTTCTCCCATTAGAATATGATCAAATTAAGGGTAGAACCTCTCATGTTTCATTTTTTTTTGTAACCTGAGCACTGACCACAGTGGCTGATGTATAGCATACTGCCCAACAATTGAAGAATGAATAAATGAATTAATAGCAGCCAAAAAAAGGAGAAATAAAGGTATGGCAAAGACAAAATTTGATGACTCTCTTGCTTTGTTTTGTGACCGATTCTCGGTGGTGTCCTCACCTGCTGGACCTGCAAGTAAACAATTGAGGAGAGCGGCTAAGTGCACCCATGCCCTCTCTTGGCCAGGAGCTCTGTCCCCTCACTCCTCTCCTACAGGTGCATACCCCAAATCCTGCTCAGATAGTTGTTCCCATTTCTCATCTTTTTAATTCATGAAGAAATATTAGAATGACGTGTTTTATTTCTCTTTAGAAACTATTTATCAATTAAGTTACTTGGTATTTATTTCCTTCGCAAAAAAAAATTTGGATTTCCATTTGGATTTGGGAAAATTAAGACAGAAAACCATAAATGAGAAAGCTAGAGTTAGAAGTGGCAAGGAAGGAAAGAGAAGAAAAGGAGGTGTGGGACTGTGCTTTAACAAGGAGGTCTCAATAAGAAGTGAGGGCAGAAGAGCCCCTAGATGAGTAACAGGGAGTCATGATCCTCACGCCCGTCTGCTCCCCACCATGCCGACCAGTCCTTGCTGTAAGACAAATCACAGAGCAGGAAGTTTAAAATGATTTGGGATTGATTTGGTTTGCTTAAATAACAAATTCTCTAACCTCAGCTTCATGATGCAGCATTTCTAGTGTAAATTATTTACAATAAAAGCACTAACGCAAGTCCGTGTGGTATGGAAGTAAACTCAACCTCAAAATTATAGACGAACAATGTAAAGCTATAACTGTATGTTTCCAAATTTATGGAATATGGAAGGACATTTCAAAGGCATTTGAAAGCAGCAGAATTGGGCTAAGCATAGTAATGACATTCTAGAAAATATTATTTGTATGACATAAGCTTAGTTATTTTTCAGACTTACAAAATTGATGTATATTTTAGGGCTTAGGTAGGTGGATTTATAAATAAAAACCATTTTTTCCTAGAATCAGGAGTTTGGATTTGGACAATTCTTCTTGATTTTGAATATTGAGAATATAATTTAGGCATCTAGAAGCTTGGCAAAGCAGTTGCTAATATAATTTATGCCTTACATTTACTTGAGAGATATTTAAACATTTCATGGTGATTCATGTTGCAGAATATGAGCATAAAAAACATTAATATTATATCAAACGTTAATGTAAAAGTATTATAATGCATTATAAACAACTGTTTTGCATATTGATTTACCATTTATTTTTTGAAAAAAGTATTTTCTTTGCAAATGTGTATCACATTATTGATAATTATTGTTTTAAATATTTTTTCTTTACCTTGCACTTTTATTTAGTATATAATCTCTTATTTTATAAATGGACATAACTCTTGAAGAACCCCAAACTATTGTTAAGAAGTAACACTGGAGAGTAAGATTTGATTGCTGAAGTCTAGCACTTCCCATCAACATACCACCATCATTCTTCACACAGCTAGAAAATATTCCTAAAATTCATATGGAACCAAAAAAGTGTCCACATAGCGAAAGCAAGACTAACCAAAAAGAACAAATCTGGAGGCATCACATTACCTGACTTCAAACTATACTATAAGACCATAGTCATCAAAACAGCATGGTACTGGTATTAAAATAGGCACATAGACTAATGGAATAGACTAGAGAACCCAGAAATAAAGCCAAACGCTTAACAGCTAACTGATCTTTGATAAAGCAAACAAGAACATAAAGTGAGGAAAGGACACCCTGTTTGACAAATGGTGCTGGGATAATTGGCAAACCACAGGTAGAAGAATGAAACTGGATTCTCATCTCTTACCTTATACAAAAATCAACTCAAAATGGATCAAAGACTTAAATCTAAGACCTGAAGCCATAAAAATTCTAGAAGACAACATTGGAAAAACCCTTCTAGCCATTGGCAAAGACTTCATGACCAAGAACCCAAAAGCAAATGCAACAAAAACGAAGATAAATAGATGGGACTTAATTAAACTAAAAAGCTTCTGTACAGCAAAGTAATAATAATAATAATAATAATCAGCAGAGTAAACAGACAACCCACAGAGTGGGAGAAAATCTCCACAATCTACACATCTGACAAAAGACTAATAACCAGAATCTATAAGGAACTCAGACAAATCAGTAAGGAAGCAAAGAATCTCATTTAAAAAGTGGGCTAAGGACATGAATAGACAATTCTCAAAAGAAGATATACAAATGGCCAACAAACATATGAAAAAACGCTCAACATGGCTAATTATCAGTGAAATGCAAATCAAAACCACAGTGTGATACCACTTCAGTCCTACAACAATGGCCATAATAAAAAAAAATAGATGTTGGCATGGATGTGCTAAAAAGGAAACAATTTTACACTGTTGATGGGAATGTAGACTAGTACAACCACTGTGGAAAACAATGTGGAGATTCCTTAAAGAGCTAAAAGTAGGACTACCATTGGATCCAGCAATCCCACCCCTTGGTGCCTACCTAGAGGAAAAGAAGTCATTATATGAAAAAAATGCTTGCACACACATGTTTATAGGAGCACAATTTGTAACTGCAAAAAATATGGAACCAGCCCAAATGCCCATCAGTCAATGAGTGGATAAAGAAAATGTGATATATAGGCCGGGCATGGTGGCTCACACCTGTAATCCCAGCACTTTGGGAGGCCGAGGCAGGTGGATCATGAGGTCAGGAGATTGAGACCAACCTGGCTAACACGGTGAAATCTTGTCTCTACTGAAAATACAAAAAATTAGCTGGGCATCCTGGCATGCGCCTGTAATCCCAGCTACTCAGGAGGCTGAGGCAGGTGAATTGTTTGAACCTGGGAGGCAGAAGTTGCAGTGAGCCGAGATCTCACCACTGCACTTGAGCCTGGGTGACACAGTGAAACTCCATCTCAAAAAAAAAAAAAAAAACAAAAAACAGAGAAAATGTGGTATATATACACATATCATGGAATACTACTCAGCCATAAAAAAGAACAAAATAATGGCATTTGCATCAACCTAGATAGAATTGGAGATCATTCTTCTAAATGAAGTATCTCAGGAATGGGAAACCAAACATTGTATGTTCTCACTCATAAGTGGGAGCTAAGCTATGAGAAAACAAAGGTATAAGAATGATACAATGGACTTTGGGGACTCGGGGGAAAGGGCAGGAGGTGGGTGAGGGATAAAAGACAACACATTGGGTACAGTGTACACTGCTCAGGTGATGGGTGAACCAAAGTCTCAAAAGTCACCACTAAAGAACTTATTCATGTAACCAAACAACATCTGTTTCCCAAAAACCTATAAAAATAAAAAATAATTAAAATTAAATTAAAAAAATAACAGCTACTCCAGTGATTCAATCTGCACTCAATATTGAGGGCTCCTAATGGAAACTATAACAAGAAATGTGGATTTCTCTTATGGGCAATAGAAATAATTTAACAACTTTTATAAAGGAGAGATAAATGTAAAGATTTGTGTTATGAAACAATGCACTCTGGCCATCTGTGTGGAAGAGGGATTGACAGTGGAGAAGACTGGCAGCAGGAAACTGTTGTGCAGGCTGTGGCACTAATCCATCCAGAAGGAATGACAGCTTTAGCTAGGGTGGCGATGATGTAGCAGAGAACTGAAGATGGTGGGGAGATATTAAGGAAGAGTCAAGAGTTTGGAGAATGAATGGCTTAGGAGTGGGCTACTGGGAAGAAGGAAAGACCTAAGATGATGCCCAGATTTCTGGCTTGAGGAGCTGGTGAAGGACTATACCTTCCTGAAACAGGAGCTGATGAATTCCAGCGTGATGGAGGAGGGTTTGGATTGAACTCCAGGTGTCAATGAGGGACCTGGTTGGACACTTTCATTTTTGCATATATATTTTCACATTTTATGTACATTATGATTGGCATTCTGTATTTGTTATTGCATCCATTTCTTTATCCGTTCAGAGCAAACATTTACGGGAATCTGTACCAGACATTATTTTAGCTTTAAAATTCTTTGGTAAAAAAAGTCAAGTATCCTTCCCCTCATGGACCTTATATTTCCCTACATCTGTGTTCCTATGATTGTCATCAAACCTGGGTGAAAAGTAGAACACTTAACTGCTCCATGTCATGTTTCTACATTTCTACATAGTCTTTATAAATACTTCATTTCTGCCATAGTCTTTCCTCATGTTGATAGATAAAAATGTTTCAAATCTTTCCCTGGGTGGTTTTGATTTTTGTCATTCAATATTATGAGCATTTTCACATATAAATCTGTTGTTTATTTCCTTAGGATAAATTTATAACAGTGGATTTATAAGGTCAAAGAATTTGGACGTTATTTTCACACTTTCTAGACTGTACCATATTGTTCATCAACATGCTTGTACTTCTCAGAATACCACTAGCCAAGATAGATAGATAGACAGATGTTTTTTAAAAGAGCACCATAATATTTCAAGCCTCTGAACGCTTTGAGCCTGAGAAATCCTTACTGACAGCCTCACTCCAGTGTACAAATGAGCAAGAAACACATTAAAAATGCCCTACATCATTAGTCATTATGGATGTACAAATCCAAACTGCAATGAGATAAAGTGTTACACTCAATAAGATGGCTATAATAAGAAACAAATGACAAAAAAATAAAGCGTGGCAATAACATGTGTTGACAAGAATGTGGAGAAACTGGAGCTCTCTGCTGGTGGGAATGAAAATCATACACCCAGTGTGGAAAGCAGTTTGGTGGTTCTTCAAAAAATTAAACATAGAACTGCCACATGATCTAACAATTTCACTCAGCCATAAAAGAATTGAAAACACACACAAAAGAATTGGAAACAGGTATTCACACAGATACCTGTTCACAAATGTTCAGAGCAGCACTATTCATGTTATCCATGAATAAGTAGATAAATAGAAAAAATAGATTAGAAATAATCTAAATATCCATTAAAGGATGAATGAAGTTATATATGTATACATAAAAAATATATGAATATTATTCAGCCATAAAACTAAAGTATTGGCAAATGCTATAACATAGAGGAACCTTGAAAACATTATGCTAAGTGAAGGAGCCAGACACCAAGTTCACATACTGTATGACTCCATTTAGATGAAGTATCCAGAATAGGCAAGTCCATAAGGACAGAAAGCAGATTGGTGTTGCCAAGGGCTCTGGGTAGGGTAGAATGGGGCATGATTACTTAATGGGTAGGAGTGTTTCTCTGGATTGATGATGGTGTTCTGGAACTAGTAGGGTGGTAGTTGCATGGCCTGGTGAACAAGTACTGCCATCAGTTTGAGTAATAGCCCTGAATTGCTTACTTTCAAATGGTTAATTGTTTGATATGTGAATTTCACCTTAACAAAGGAGAAAAAAAGTATACCGTATTCACTAAAGTCTCATTAGCATTTCAGTAAAGCTTTTGCTAATTTAGTAGATTTTAAATAACCGAATGCTTTTTTAAAAATAGTGAAGATAAATATTTTTCAATGTGTTTACTATTTGTGTTTATTTCTGTAGAATATTTGCTATTATTCTCTGCAAATATATTTTACAAGGTTGATTTTTAAGAACAGATTTTTGTTAATTGTTACTACATTGAGTTTTTAAAAATATTATAATCCATTGTCCCTATTTTTTCTTATTGCTTCAGTGCTATACACTCAGAATTGATATGTATTGTACTCTATTTTTTGCTCATGTTTATAATTTAAAATGTTTAATCACTTTAATTAATGTGGAGGTTAATTAATCACTTTAATTAATTAATCACTTTAATTAATGTGGAAATTATTTGGTATAGAGACTTTGAAAAGTGGATTTTTTTCCCCAAATGGCTGTTTTTCCATCATCATTGATTGAATAATTCTTCCTTTGATACCCATAGATGAGCTTCACTCATTCACAAGGCAGCCTTCTTTGAGGTCTGGCAGGAAGGTGGTTTCTTGGGAACCTTGTAGAGCCTGTCTCTCTAATACATCTTTTTCTTCTCCTTCTCTTTCTCCACTTTCTACTCCCCCCTCCCACATTCCTTTTTATTGTGAAACTTGAGGTTCTATTTGGAAAAGATTCTGAATAAGTCTGAAAAGACAAAATTCAAGTGGAAAATACAGGTCTTGGAGGACTTCAAAATGCAGATAACAGCCTAAATTAGCATCTACGGAAATACTCAGTCGTCTTCATTTCAGAGTAAGGCATAAACTATGTGTATGTCTTAATACCAAACCATAACACTGACAAATAGCTTTTGTTACGGTAGTATTATTCCATGTGTTTTAAGACTCAGTTTAACCTTAATTTATAGGTGCTCTTTGTCTCTCACTCTACCATGAATTAAGTCAGTAGGAAAAGTACTGCCATCTATTTGGGAGAAACAGAAGATAAATGCAGAAAGTGAATTAAGTTTTTTTCTTATTGTAATCTAATGTAACCGGTTAATGTGGAAAACCATTTTTTAAACTTTTTCCGGATGTTATGCATCTATTCAATGTCTTGACCTTAAATGTGATATGTATTTGGTGAGACCTTTCTATTGTACCTAGGCAGAGATACAGAAACATTGCTTTTAGTCCAGAGAGTAAATGCCACTGTCTTAATAGCTATCTAATATCTCACAGCAAACTGATTCTTTCTAAGAATATTTCTTTCTTTTTTTTTTTTGAGACAACATCTCACCATGTCCTCTGGCTGGAGTGCAGTGGCGCAGTCTCAGCTCACTGCAACCTCCACCTCCCAGGTCCAAGAGATTCTCCTGCCTCAGCCTCCCAAGTAGCTGGAACTACAGAAGCATGCCACCGTGCCCAGCTAATTTTTGTATTTTTAGTAGAGACAAGGTTTCATCATGCTGGCTAGGCTGGTCTTGAACTCCTGACCTCGTGATCCACCCACCTCAGGCTCCCAAAGTGCTGGGATTACAGGCATGAACCACCATACCAGGCCAGATATTTCTATTTAATTTTGACAGGAGGAATGATTCTGGGTATATGTATAGCCCCAGACCAATTTTAGTCTTTTAAAGTTTATGAGATGATAGAGGTGTATGCATTTCACGACAGAATATAGCTTTCAGGGCTGTTAGAACTAATAGCTCAGTGGGAAAAGTCATCCCTCACATTGCTAGCATGGGCTCATAGTATGTGATCACTGGAAAGGGCCTTAGCAGCCATGACCCTTCCATTTAAAGAGGCTAAATGATGGATTTATCTTGGGGATGAAATTACAAATTAAAAAACTGAGATGATACTACGTCTCAGGATGCCTACTGAAAGTTTGCTTATGGAGAAAGTAATTTGTACTTGGTAAGAGGAAAAGTCAAAGAAAGAGGGGCAATGTAGCACAGCTGAATGAGGCAAAAATGCCTGGTCTAGAGCAACATGAAATAAAGTCACCTGAAGTGATGGGACTGTTGATGGGGAAACATCACACCTACAGAGACTGGAGGAAGCTTGGCCATGAACTCTACACCAAGGAGCAAGGAGCGAGCCCTGCGTGCAGCTCCTGGGATCCCAGGCTTTAGGGTTGTCCCCTCACAGGAGTGTTAAGGGACAATTGAGAAAGTGTGGAAGGAAAATGCCAGTTGTGAGTATGAGGCTGTGGGGAGCCGAGGGAGGGCCGTGAGTGACCAGGAAAAGCTGCAGGCAAGCGGAGGGGAGATGCAGAATGGATGGGAGAAGGGCTACGATTGCGTATTTAACCTGTTGCCAGTGTAGCCTGGGATCACCATCGTTTTGCATTATTTTTAAGACTCTTTCATTGAACAGAGCATCTGGAAATAATTCTAATTCAGTGGCAGTTTTGAGGATCAGTAGAATCTCACAACATAAAGAATTTGTTGTCATGCTAATATAGTTGATTACAGTCTGCTTGGAAAAAAAAACTGAACGTTGCGAGAATCAGTGGTGCATTTCTGGATGGCTTTACACAGAGCCCACAGAGTGCAGCAGTTCACCTGAATTTATACACACCCTCCAGGGAAAGCCAACACTCTTCCATGCTGATGCGTATGCTTGTGAGATGTTTTCATTAATGGATCTCTAGGGAAAGTCCTTGTGTCTATTTCTTTGTTATTTGTTTAAATTTGTTTCCTCTTAGATATAAGAGCTATCTAGCTATAATGACTTTAACACTTAAGGTTGGATAAGTGTGGACTTGTATCACTTTTGAAAAAAAAAATCCTTTTTTACTCAACTCAAATTCTCTTTGTGGAGTTGGATTTCCAGCACTGTAAATAGAGTGCAAAACTGCCTTTATTTACTGCTGACTTAAAAGCATACCTGGCTGTGGCATTACAAATGAGAATCTCCTGAGCACTATATTCTATACAAGCTGACTCTTTTTGAAATTTTTTTCTTTTTTTAAAATTTTTATGTTTTTAATTTTATTTTTCCATAAGTTACTGGGGTACATGTGGTATTTGGCTACATGAGTAAGTTATTTAGTGGTGATTTGTGAGATTTTGGTTCACCCATCACCCAAGCAGTATACACTGCACCATATTTGTAGTCTTTTGTCCCTTGCCTCCTCCCACACTTCCCCACAAGTCCCAAAGTCCATTGTATCATTCTTATGCCTTTGCGTCCTCACAGCTTAACTCCCACATATCAGTAAGAACATACGATGTTTGGTTTTCCATTCTTTACTTCACTTAGAATAAGTCTCCAATCTCATTCATGCAGGTCACTGCAATTGCTGTTAATTCATTACTTTTTATGGCTGAGTAGTATTCCATTGTATGTATATACCACAGTTTCTTTTTTTTTTTTTGAGATGGAGTCTTGCTCTGTTGCCCAGGCTGGAGTGCAATGGCACGATCTTGGCTCACTGCAAGCTCTGCCTCCCGGGTTCACACCATTCTCCTGCCTCAGCCTCCCGAGTAGCTGGGACTACGGGTGCCCGCCACCACACCCAGCTAATTTTTTCTTGTATTTTTGGTAGAGACGAGGCTTCACCATGTTAGCCAGGATGGTCTCGATCTCCTGACCTCATGATCCGCCCGCCTCAGCCTCCCAAAGTGCTGGGATTACAGGCATGAGCCACCACCCCGGGCCATACCACAGTTTCTTAATGAACTCTTCTACCAAATGGAACATTTCAGATGACACAGTCCAGTCTCTTCATTTAGAAATAAGGAAACAGAGACACAGTAGTTATGTGATTTTTCCCAAGGTCCCTAAGAGAGGTGATTACAAAGATTGCAGCAGGAGGTTTAGCCAACGCTCGTTTTAAAAGATTTTTGAGAAAATCTAGAATGTAACTTTTAAATTAAGGTTGGGGGACTTTTTTTAGTCTGAGTAATCAGCTCAGGAAAAAACCTCAAACACACAGTTAATTTATACAAACCAATCAAGTAAAAATAGGTGCCCACCCATTCAGGAAAAAAAAAAAAAAGTCTTTGTGGCTACAGTAGTGTAGTTGCTGCAACTCTATTTGTTCTTAATGTTGCCTAAGGTGTTATGATACCCTGTGTCTATAAATGACTTTTGAGGGGATTGGGTATCTCACTCTTCATGTTTTTAATACTTTTAGGGTTTAAATGAAAATAATTGAGTATTAAAACAATATCTTTTAGACTAGAGAATTTCTACTTCTGTGGTAGAGTTTGGCTGTAAGTGCTTCTTGAAAAAGATAAACATTGAATGTATAAGAATTTTTGCTTCCTGCTATACTAAAGCTAGCCCCTTTAAGCTACATTTAAAATATTTAAAACTAGTTCTAGAATATTTGGTTGAATAAAACCAATATTAATAATTATAGTACATACTATGTTGGTTTGGCATTTTTAGGATTTTATAACTTCAATAAAAAGATATAAAGCATTCCCATTTCTGTCAGATCAAGCTCACAGCCTTATGATGTCAATATCCCAAAGCTGATAAAAGCACGATTTACTTCAATTTGATAATTTGTGGACTTGTACAAATATAAAAAGATGAACGTCTATATATAAAATAAATTTAAGGTTCCCTGACAGTAGGAATATAGCTGTTTTAACAGTTACTCAAAAAAGAGTCAGTGTTTAGGAAATAAGAGCTGTCTCTATTTCTTTCTTACAGATATTCTAAGTTTCTAGGGTGCAATAAAGATTTACTAACATAAAAATGCTTCGTGATGAGATTGAAGTTTACGTAATTTATTTAACTTTATTATAGGCGTGTTAAATAAATGTTTTACTTAAAAGAAATGTAGATGTTTGTTATATTAGAGCCATAAATTTTGTCTAGGTCTGAAAATCTTCTCTTTACCCTTGGACAACTCACTGTTCCTCAATGGGACTTTGTAATTTCATGAAATAAAGGGTAGGTAATGGAGCATATGAATCAGATGGATGTTTCATACCAGGTGTTGGCATACATACGCAATACTGAGAAACTGACAAAGTGAGATGCAGAGTCTACACAATCAATTTTAAAAATTGATTCTTTATGTCTTGCTGAATGTGTTATAAGACATCTCATGTCAACCTTTACAGTGGATTGTCTACATGTGATTTTTTGATGTATTATTAATGAACTTGGATATGTGACATTTCTCTCCATTCAAATAATTAAATAATCCAAACTTAAATTATTATTTAACAGCCTGCCTTTAGATAATTGTTAAGTGTAAAATAAAGAAAGAATGTGAAGTTTTTGATGAAATCTCTATAAAATCACTTGCCCTTTTCCATGAACTCAGCTGCAGGGAAGTATACCTTTTACTGTGAAGACTTTGAGAACAAAACAAGACAAATACAAAGACAAATGGAAAACCATTTAAAACAGCTCTTTTAGTTACTAGTGTAAAAATTTGAATCAATATGCTAGTGGCATGCATTTTACTAATAAGCATACATTTCAGTTGTAAGACTGAATCATTAATACATATTTTTGCTGATGACATATATTTAATGTCTTCCCTCTACACTACAGTTATAGGTAGACATTGTAACAGTCACAGGCATTTATTTTACTCTTGGAATTATTTATTATTAGCTTTGAGTCATGGTAGTAAACATTCTCAATAATGATGTAATTTTTAAATTTATTATGCTTTTATAACTGTGCCAGTAAACTTTATACTCAATAATATACAATTCTCATAGACTTGGTATTTCAATTTATATCAAAGTGGCCAAATTTATACCTTAGACTGTGTCTGTATTTTTATAGTTTTAACAGTTACTTTAAATGATGGGTTGCCCGAAGTACATGAATGCATTTCTGGGAAAAGTAGCTTTTTGTTTCTATTAAGGCAAAACTGACAGGCATTATTGTTGTTTAAATTTATTTTTAATTGAGAAATAAGTATTGTGTATATTTATGGGGTATGAGGCGATGTTTTGATCTATGTATACCTTGTAGAAAGACTTAATCAAGCTAATTAATATATCCATTACTTTGTGAACTTATTTTTGTGGTAAAAATGTTAATAATCTATTCTTTTAACCAATCTGAAATATATAATACATTATTATTACTTATGGTCACCATGCAGTGCAATAGATTGCAAACACTTAGTCTTCAGTCTAACTGAAACTTTCTACCCTTTGAACAGCATGTTTTGAAGTCCCTCTCCTCAACTTCCCCTCCCTTTACCCTCTCCTCAACTTCCCCCTTTACCCCAGCCCCTGATGGCAACCTTTCTAGTTTCTGTTTCTATGAGATGGACTTTTTTAGATGCCACATAAAGCGAGCTTATTCAGTAGTTGTCTTTCTGTGCCTGGCTTATTTTACCTAGTCTCAAATGGCAAAATTATTCTCTTTTTAAAGACTGTATAGTATTCCATTGTGTATATACTTTTATAACACATTTTATTTATTTATTCATCTGTTGATGAACACTTTTCAGGTTTTGAGGAGCCACTACACTGCTTTGCATAATGGCTGTACTAATTTACATTCCCACACACAGAGTGTAAGTGTTCCCTTTCCTCCACATTCTTTCCAACATTTGTTATCTTTTATCTTTTTGATAACAGTCATTCTAACAGGCATGAAGTGGTGTCTCACTGTGGTTTTAATTTGCATTTCCCTGATGACTGAAGATGTAGGGCAGTTTTTCATGTATCTGTTGGCCATTCACATCTCTTCTGAGAAATGTTTGTTCAGATTCTTCGCCCGTTTTTAATCAGGTTATTTGTATATTGCTACTGAGTTGCTTGAATTCCGTATGTATTTTGGATATTAGCTCCTTTTCAGATGTATGATTTGCAAATATTTTCTTTCAATGCATGGGTTGTCTTTTCTCTCTGTTAGTTGTTTCCTTTGCTGTGCAGAAGCTTTTTGGTTTGATGCAATCTCATTTGTCTATTTTTTGCTTTTGTTGCCTGTGCTTTTGGAGTTGTATCCAAGAAATCACTACACAGACTAATGTGGAGCTTTTTCCTTATTTTTTCTTCTAGTAGCTTTACAATTTCAGATTTTACATTTATGTCTTGTGCTCATTTCAGCGATTTTTGTATATAGTATAAGAAGAGGGTATAATTTCATTCTTCTGCAAGTGGAAATCCAGCTTTCCCATCATGTTTTTTTGTTGTTGTTGTTGCTTTGTTTTTTTTTTGTTGGTTTGTTTTGAGACAAGAGTCTCTGTCACCCAGGCTGGAGTGCAGTGGCACAATCTTGGCTCACTGAAACCTCTGTCTCCCAGGGTCAAGCGACTCTCTTACCTCAGCCCCCCAAGTAGCTGGGATTACAGGCTCACGCCACCATGCCTGGCTAATTTTTGTATTTTTAGTAGAGATGGAGTTTTACCATGCTCGCCAGGCTGGTCTTGAACTCCTGACCTCATGATCCACCCACCTCAGCCTCCCAAAGTGTTGGGATTACAGGCGTGAGCCACTGCACCTGGCCTCCCAAAATCTTTTATTGAGGAGACTGTCCTTTCCCCATTTGTGTTCTTGACACCTTTGTTGAAAATCAATTGACCACATATACTTAGGTTTATTTCTGGACTGTATATCCTGTTCCACTGGATGATTTCTTTTTTTTTTTTTTTTTGAGATGGAGTTTTGCTCTTGTTGCCTAGGCTGGGGCACAAAGGTGTGATCTCGGCTCACTGCAGCCTCCGCCTCCTGGGTTCAAGTGATTCTCCTGCCTAAGCCTCCCGAGTAGCTGGGATTACAGGCACGCACCACCACGCCTGGCTAATTTTTTGTATTTTTAGTAGAGACAGGGTTTCACCATGGCCAGGCTGGTCTTGAACTTCTGACCTCAGGTGATCCACTCGCCTCGGCCTCCCAGAGTGCTGGGATTATAGGCGTGAGCCACTGCGCCTGGCCTGGATGTTGTTTTTATGCCAATACGATACTGTTTTGATTACAATCACTTTATAATATATTTTGAAATCAAGGAATGTGATGCCTCCAGGCTTGTTTTGCCTTGTCCAAGATTGTTTTAGCTGTTTGGGGTCTTTTGTTGCTCCATACAAATTTTAAGATAATTTTTTTTCAATTTCTATGAAGAATGACATTGGAATTTTGAGAGGGATTGCATTGAATCTGTGGATGGCTTTGAGTAGTAGGGAGATTTTAACAATATTAGTTTTGCCAATCCATGAACATTGGATATTTTTCCATTTATTTGTGTCTTCAATTTCTTTAATTGATGTTTTATAGTTTTCAGTGTACAGCTCTTTCCTCTCCTGGTTAAATTTATTCCTAAGTATTTTTTGATACTATTATAAATAGAATTGTTTTGTTAATTTATTTTTGGACAGTTTTTTGTTAATACATAGAAACTACTTATTTTTGTATGTTGATTTTGTAATCAGCAACTGAAGGGTATTATTATTAGGCTATTGACATTTTTTGAAAATCATGGATTAAACTGGATCAAGACAAGGCTAATCAGGTGAAAACTCATTTCCAGATAGCCACATCAGTCAAAGCCTTATATATGAATTCCATAAAATACTAATAATAATGGAAATTGGACTTAAGCAGAGAGAGGACTGCTCCCTCCCCAAAGAAAGGATGTCAAAGATTTAGGAAAAGCACAGCTCAGGTTTATTCATTCATCATCTAACAAATATTTATTGATCACCCACTATGGTTATAGCTACTGTTCTAATGCTGGGGATATGGTAGCTTAAAAACAAACAAACAAAAAATTTAAATCCTTGCTCTCAAGGAGTGTTCTATAATGTGGAAAACATATAAAAACAAGCATGATAATATTCTAATGGTAATACTTACTTACTAAGAAAACATCAATCCAAAATATAAAAATGAAATATTGGAGTTCTCTGTACTTAAAATTTTATATAAGTTATGATAAAATGGAAGTGGAAATGTGAAAAATATAGTAGAGATCTTCTTACATGGTACCCCTGTGTTAGCAGATGTTCTTCTCATACACAGGGCTCCTGTTTCAGCAGATATCTTCCTCATAACATGGAGCTTTTGTTTTGGGGTCAGTTTACTTCCAAAGCGTGCACTCTCTAAAGTTGTTTACACAGAACTGAAATGTTATAATAAGCAGATTGAAGCAAAACACTAAAATACAAGCACTTTATTCTAGTGGCTGCATGATGACACCTCTCACCTCAGAATCTTCAGATAACAGGTAACCAAGAAAGAAAACATCTAGACCAGATTCAAGGACTACAGGCCTCCCAGACAGGCCATGCCAATAGCTGTCTCCTTGCTCTCTTGCTCTTCTGTTTTCGTTTTCCTACCTGAGCCCAACCTCGATTGCTCTTCCTAAAGTCCTTTTTGTCAATGGAGATTAAGGCTGATCTTGATATGAATGTAATTTGGCTTGAGTTTTAGAAACTCTTTCTGTTTAAACCCACAATTTCAATTCCAGCACAAAATACAATTAAAGGAAACTTTTGTTCTCCTGGAGCTGTTCAAGTAAAGCGACCCCCACATCTCTCTCGGCTTTCCTTTGCCTCCTCTTTCTTCCTTTTGTGCCCCTCTTTCTTCTCCTACTCTCATCTCTTCTTTCTTTCTACTTCCTCCTCCTTTTCCCTATTCCCTTTGTTTCCTTCTATGTATTGACTGGCAGCAATTTTTGATGTATTATCTAAAGTGCAAGAATAATTTTAATGAACCCAGAAAATATATTCAATCTCCTGAAGTTTATACTTTTCTGGGGAGATCAAGGAAAACATTACTAACATCAGAGAGAAATGAGAGAAGAAGGCCTTGCATTCTGAGTTCTCTGTTCTCTTTAGCGTCAGATGCTTCTCATGCGTTGCTTCAGGTCCTCCTGGTCTCCCCTGTCTCTGGGACCTGTGGCCACTTGCTTCTGCCACAGCCATCACCATGGCAACCAGTCCCAAAAGTGGACTGCAGTGGACTTCGAGTGCCGCCATCACTCTAGCTCAGCCCTTTTTCTTCTCCCTTCCCCTCCTCCCTCTTCTTCTCATCATTATTGTCCATCTATGAAGGATTCCCTTACCCACATAAATATGCAGAGACACCATCAATGTAGAATATTTCAAAAAGTCAACATCACAGGATGCAAGATCAACATACCAAAATAAATTGTATTTCTACATATTGGCAATCAACAATTGGAAATAGCTTTTTTAACAAAATGTTATGTACAATAATACAAAAAATACTTTGATATAAATCTAAAAACAATGCAAGACCCATATGCTGCAGAAATAAATGAAACAAACCCTAAATAAATGCAGAGATACATTGTGTTCATGGATTGGAAGACTCACTGTTGTTAAAATGTCCTTTCTCTCTAAACTGATCTATAGGTTCAACACAATTCTAGTCAGAATCCCAGCAGGATATTTTTGTAGAAATCAACAAGCTGACTCTAAAATATATATGGAAAAAAAACTACAATAGCCAAAGTAATTTTGAAAATGAAAAATAAAAATTTGAAGATTTACACTATCTGATTTCAAGACTGAGTTATATAGTGTAAGGCCTAAAATTTCACAGGCTGTCTTATATTTTTAAGCCTCAAGGGACCCTAAAGGCCATATTGTGAGTTCCCTGCTTTCAGCAGATGTGACCCTGTGCTGAACCAGCTGCACACCACCTGGTCCTCAATCTGACAGACTTCAGTTCCCTGCCAGCCGCAAATCATTAAAACAAGGCAGTATCGTCCTCACATAGTAACCAGGGGCACCCTGTGCTGTTGATATTCAAAGCCTGCCTCTCTCTTGCTGCCCCTGCTTGTTCATCTGTTCCCAAGTGCACCCCGGTGTGGCCCTGTGTGGTGTGCAGTGTCCTCCCGCAGGACCATGAGTAGATGTGGGTAATAAAATGCTGCCCATCTATCTGCCCAGTGTTGCGATGTGTTCAACCATCTCATTCTGTTTAGGGCAGTGGATGCCTTCCTCACTAATGAGGTGAATACGAGGTCATCATAGCACTATAAAACCACAGTAATCAAGCCAGTTTGCTATTGGTGAAGGAAAAAAAGAGTACAGAAATAGACCCACATGTATGTGCACGGCCACTTGATTTTCCATAGAGATACAAATTCAATTTTGTGAAGAAAGAATACACTTTTCAACAATAGTGTTTTTTTATATTAAAAAAAGAACTTAAATTCTTAATTTGCTCCATATACAAAAATTAATTAACTCAAAACAAATCATAAACCTAAATGCAAAGATTGAAACCATAAAACTCTTGCAAAAAATATAGGAGAAAATGTTTGTAATCTTGGGTTAGGGAAGGGCAAAGTTTTCTTAAATACAACATCAAAATCACAACTCATAAGAGAAAAAACTGATAAATTACACTTCATCAAAATGAAGAACTTCTGCTCTTCAAAATCCAGTGTTAATACAATAAAAAGGCAAGCCACAAATTGGAATAAAGTATTTACAAACTATATATCTGATTAAGGACTTGTATCCAGTATTTATGAAGAACTCTTAAAACTCAATACTAAGGAAACATCTCATTTTTTTTAATGGGCAAAATTTTTGAATAGACACTTTACCAAAGAAGATATACAGATGATGAATAAACACATTAAAAGATGTTTAACATCACAGTCATTAGGTAAGTGCAAGTTAAAAACCGGAGATGACTACTATATACTTCTTAGAATGAAAAAAAGAAGGAAGGAAGGAGGGAGGGAGGGATGGAGGGAGGGATGAAAGGAAGGAAGGAAGGAAGGGAAGGCATTCCAAATGCTGAGGAAATATGGAGATGTAGAACACTTGGAATTCAAATACATTTCTGGCGGGAATGTACAATTATATAGACACTTTGAAAAATAATCTTCCAACATATTATAAATTTGACCATATACTTACTATTCAGTCCAGGAATCCCACTGGGTGATATTTCCTCCGGTGAAGTGAAAATTTGACTTTAAAATTTTAAGCAAATGTTTAAAGCAGGTTTATTCGTCATTGCCCCAACTGGAAGCAACTTCAATGTCTTTCAGCAAACTTGGTCCCTGGATGGACTACACAGGTCAACAATAGAAAGCAACAAACTATGGGTACATGCAAGAGCATCTCAATTCAGCATTATGTTAAGTGAATTCAGACAGTATCAGAATGCTACATACTATATGATTATATTTACAATAATTAGTGAAACTGTAAGGGTAGAAAGTGCATCATTGCTCACCATGGGGTGGAGGATCAGGGGAGTGGCTGACTACAATGACCATGGAGAATTTGGTGGGCTGATGGAACTTTACATTTTGACAGTAGTGGTAGTTAAATGACTGTATGGATTTGTAAGAAATTGAGAAATTATACATGCAAAAATTTTACTCTGTGTAACTTATAATCTAATAAGAAAAAAAATGATTTAAAAAGAGCCAGCGACCACAGTGGTAACACATTGGAATTTTCCTCTCACTGTTTCACTGTTTGTTTTGGGGGCTCTACTGAAGAGTAGAGAGATCAGAGCAGTAGATTCTGGTTTTGCTGTACCACTAAGCAGCCACAGGTTCTCAAGATCATGATGACTTTCCCCAAGAGCTATTGTGGAGGCCAAATCAGATAATGTTTCAGAGACAGTTTCACAATATAAGAAGCCCTATACTTGACAAAGTACAGTTATAATTATGTATAATATTTGGCAGTGATAAATTCTTCATAGCATTTTCCTGTTTCATATCTCATAATCATTCATTAATTTGGCAAATATTACTTGAATATTTTGGCACACTCTTGTCCCCAAAGTGTTCTAGCTCCAGGGAATGATAGATAAGTAAGCTACAGTCCACTGCCCTTGGGGAATTCAGAATCAAGGGTGACAGGTAGACTTATCAACAAGTCCTGTAATAACATATGATGAAGCTGGTACAGAGATAAATATGAGATAAAAAGAAGTGGTTCCCAAAAGAATGATTAAAGTTCTCCTCCAGGGGTGGACCTTGGAAAGTAATCCAAGAACTTGGAAAGTCTTAGATATCATTTATAGGAGTTTAGAATTTAACCTATAGGTGGAAGGGAGCCACTGAGGGTTTTAAGTAGTGGTGGCAACACAGCAGATGACGTTTTAGAAACATTATCTGGCAACGGTGTGAATTTTTGTGCACATACGTGTTGGGGTGTGGATATGCATGTGTGTGAGAAGGGATTTGGGCATTGGAGGCAGAAAGACAGGTCAGAGACTTGTCAAAGTTAAATAAAATATGTAGAGATGAATCCCTCAACTTAATCGTCAGATTTCATTTGGGATACAAGAATTGCAATTCGGGGAAGAGTCACAGACCAGATGGTCTTTGGTATGTCTGAGAAACAAAGAGAAGGTTTTATAAAGAAGGGAAATGTTATGTATTGTCTTGTGAGAAAGTTCTTTGGTATTAGTAAAGTTTTGGAAAGCTGGAAAGCTCTGATTGGTTACTGACAGCAGTGGGTAAAATTAGTCATAGAATTGCAGCAGGTGGTTGCAGCAAATATTAGATAAAACCAGTTTCGGGTTACAGCAGGTAGTTTCAGCACCTGGACTTGCAGAGAATTACATTTTTGGAGCAATGTTGTGTGCCCTGAGTGTTTTTTTCCCCCAGCTTCTCAGCTGTTTCAGTTGGGTATAACAAGAATGACCCAATTTGTATGATCGACTTTCACAGACTGTTGGGTGAAAAACAATGAGAATCCAAACTAAGGCAATTGCAGAGCGATTTTAGAAAAGGAGACTGCTTCAAGAAATATTTTGGGAGTAAAATCAGCGAGGCTTATTGTCTAATTCCATGTTGAGGAATGGGAGACAGAAGCTAACTCAGTGGATGAAGATACCGTTTAAACAGTGTAAGGCCGGTACGAGGAAGCTCGGATTTGGTACAGAAGAGGGAAGAGGAGGAAGGGGAAGGGAAAATGTTTGACAGGTTTGTGTTTGAAATCCTGAGATCAATGTGTGTGTAAATGGATCTATGGTTTAGAAAAGAAATCTTAGAGACACAAAGTTGGGTGTTATCAGAATACTGGAAATAGATAAAGCCACATATACAATAACTTACTTTTCTCGTTCCCTAGTTGGAAGAAATAACCAAAGACACAAGTAATATTCACCCGGTGATCAGATATCACAGTGAAATGACAAAGTATCATGCCTTAGTTTTTGCGAGTGTAGATTTTGTTCAGTCCTTGTCTTCCATTCTGTCCTTCAAGCATGTGTTTTGTTGTGTTTTTGAGTCTCCCTCTTCCACTAGATTGTGAACTATTTCAGAGAGGCTTATTTCTTTCTTACCTTCAGCTTTAAGCCTCGTGCCTGGCACACAGCAGACACTCAAGTTTTTAAGTGATGTGACGACTGGTGATTATCTATTGACTTTCCCCCGTCTCGTTACATAGAGCATACTAATTTGCAAATGAAAAAAGTGGGCTTATCTATGCTAACCCCTTGGCTGGAGTTAAACTATAATTCATAATTTATTTTCAATATTAACCCTCATTAAAATATATAGGGTACTGCCAACATTTTTAGAAACTCTTACCAAATGTAAATCGAGTTCAACACCTGGTTCATTCATTTTTTAAAAGTAATATTGTTTTTCTTTGTTTTCATAAGATTTAAAACAAACCATCATTACTGCCTCAATCTTATTCACCCAGTGTTTTTTGGTGAAGTATTTGAAATGTATTGCTGTCTTTCAAGGACACTATTAGAAGGCCTTCTGAGCCAGAGGAGGCTGCCTTCTGCTTATCGGTCTTGTTATCAGTGACAGTCATTGTGGAGGATGTAAGTTGAGAAATAGGAGAGGCATCACTTTGACCACAACTGTGTGTCAGTCTCCTGAATGATTTTCCCTCCTGTTTTGAAGTATCTGATAATGACTTCTTAGAGGGTCTGGAAAGAAAACACCTTCTCTCTGCATTTCCCTTAGATACTCTGCATAAGCTGGCCTTGTATGAATGCAATAATTTTCCAACCAATTGTGGCTGGTGTCACAACCAATTCAATGCACTTCTGAGATTGTTTATCCAGATGGAATAGAAAAATGTGGTGCAGGGCTGCTGCATGGGACCCGGGAGCCAGAATGGCTGACTTTTACCCTGACCTCACTTTGTGCTTGTAGACAGAGTGGGAATCCAGGTTCTTGGAGCTCTCCTGTCACCCCTGGGCTAGAGAACAAAGCCCTTGGAGGATGCCTACGAAGAATGTTGAGAACAAGTGCGATCTTTAGCCCAACCTCTTTTTTAAAAGCATTATTTGAGCATGTTCAGGTTGCTTTAATATAATTTGTTTGATTGTTCTTGTTTTTGTAGGGTGTATTGCATTGATTATGTGAAGGGCAAATGTACATAGACTCATCACTCATATCCTGCATTAGTATTGATTTAGACTGCTACAAACTGGCAGGAAATGAGAAAAAAATGTTTCCTACTTCTCAGTCATAAGCCAATTAAAAAATTCAAAATGTATACAATTACTTCCTCGGAAATTTTATCTCAGAATAGATATAACTACAATTTCTACTAACCAACAAATGACCATTTCTGTATGATGAATACTCAGGGTTCTAATATTCAGCCTTCTTTTAAGGACTTTCTAATTTTGCATTGAGATGGACACATTTCATCTATTATTCAGGAGCAGAGAAAACATGCTTTCATAAAAGCAACCTGTTTACAAAAGGCTGGCTGTTATAAACAGGCCGTAACACCCTCACATATATTGTTATGAAAGTGAAGGTATGCATCTGTATGTATCTATACAAAACACACCATTTAATGTATTTGTGTATTTGTATTTCTGTAACATACACACATTATAAAATCAATCTAAGGTCAAATTCTCCATCATAAGTGTGAGTTGACAGAGAGGATCATATCTTTGTAAAATATTATGAAATTATATGGCAGTTTGGAAAAAGAATCAACGGTGGTTTTGTATCTGCTTCCAGACATTTCCCCCTCTGCAAGCTTAAATTTGCACACAGTACCCCACAGCACTCGAGCGCGTATCTCTATCGCCAAAGTGATTTCTATCATGTCCTAACCTCATTAGTGAACACACTCACAGACTCTCAACACCCATTCTAATCAAGAAGCAAGAAAACAAAATGCATCAATCTTAAAACATCATCAATGCAACAAATTAAGCACAAGGTCAAATTTCATTAGGGTTATTTGGCATTTGCTGGTAGTGAAAGATTGCATTAAACCAAAAAAAATGCATCACACGAATTTTTTTGTAACACATACCCTTTAGTAAGTCTTCTAAGTCAACAAAATTAATTTTATCTCGTAAAGAAGCTTTGATAAATAAAGAGCTGTTGGTCAGAATATAAAGATAGTTCAATCACATACATGATTATAGTTACAATAATTTTAATGTAATATTGTATTGACTCATCCATGTATATTTAAATTTTTATTATATATTGAAATTATTTTTAAGACATGCAGATTAGCAATAAAACTAAAAAATTACCTATGTCTTAGAAATCTTGGTGTGCTCCTCCATATACTTGAAAGCATTTCCATTTAATGTGATAATTGATATGTTTAAACTGGTCTGTCATCCACTGTTTTTTCTGTTTGCACTATCTGTTCTTTTCTTTCTTTTTTCTTTTCTTCTTTTGTAATGTGTGCTTTTAAATTTCATTTTTATTTTAATTGTTTAATTATTTTAGTGGGTTTCTTTGGATTTATATGATTCACCTTTAATTTATCACAATCTGCCTTCAGGTAATACTAAACCACTTCATTTATTATGAACTTTGCAATAGTATACTAGCATTTCTCTCTTCCCAGCCTTTGTGCTATTAATGACATATGTTGTCCTTATATATTATAAAGCCCATAATATATTGTTATCATATTTGTTTGAACATTCATCTTTCAAAGAGATTTACTTAATGTATAAACTATCCTATCTGCTTACCTATGTAGTGACCATTTCTAGTGCCCTTTCTGTCTTTTGTACCCCCACAGTTTCATTCGGCATCATTTCCTTCCATCTGAAGGACTTTCTTTTTTGAGAGAGAACTCTCTTCTTTGAGAGCAATTCTTCTGAGAGACTCTGCTGGTAAAGCATTTTAGTTTTCTTCTATTGAAAGTAGTTTTTGGCCTTCACCTTTTTTGATGTTTTCATGGCACATCTTTGCCCATCTTTTTACTTGCAATCTCTTTATTTCCCCTTCATTCCTGAAACATACTTTTATAAGACACAAAATTTACAACAGACAGTTATTTTCTTTCAGTACTGAACTTGAAAAATATTGTGTCACTTTTTTTCTGGCCTCCGTGGTTTTAGGTGAGATACCCATTCTAATTTGAAATGTCATTCCCTTAGACGTAATGCATCATTTCTCTCGGGCTGCTTTCAGTGCTTTTTCTCTTCCCAAAAGATTATTTATTCTGAAATCTGATTCATTTATTTATTTTAGTTTATTTTCTGCTTTTTTTCTACAGATTTTTTTCCCTTCAAGTTCATCATATTTATTCTATCCTCTATCATCTCTCTCAGTTTTACTATTATAACTTTCTAATGTGTTTAAAGATTTTGGATTTGTAACTTTTTTATTTCATAAATTCCACTTAGTTGTTTTTTTAATAACTTCTATTTTGTATTAAAATTTTCCATTTTTTATTTGTTTTAAGATAATTCATAATTGCTGGTTGACGTATGTTTACAATTTCTGCTTTAAAATTCTTGCCAGATAATTCCAACATCTGATTTATCTTAGGGTTGGTGTCTGTTAGTGCCCTTTTCTTACTCAAGTTATAATTTTCCTTGTTCTAGTTAGGATGAGTGATTTTTAATTGTATCTATCATAGGTGTTTTGGATATTGTATTATGAGATTCTAGATACTATTCAATCTTGTTTTAAACCAAGTAGTTCCCCTATTGAGGTTCAGTATGAGGGCCAAGTGAGTATATATGTTCAGCTTTCCACTAAGCCCTGGCAGCACCAGCCCAGCGGAGTGGAGCTCACTCACACTGCCTCATTGCAGATGGGTGAGGTGGAAGTTCAGCTCCTCCTCAACCCTGATGACACTGTCTTAGTGACTATTGAGCACTGTCTCTCACCATCTCATTGCCTTCAAAAGGGGATGTAATCTCAGCTCCTTGCTCAACCCTGTTAACACCAGGGAGAGGAGAAGTGGAGGCCTGACTCACACTGATTTGTTGCTGCAGAGTGGGGGTAGAATCACAGTTTCCCAGTGGTCATCCCTTTCATTTTTGAAAGATATGTTTGTAGGGTATAAAAATTACAAATTGACATATATTTTGTTTTTCTCCTAGTATTTTTAAAATGTTGCTCCACTGTCCTCTCACTTCATTGGTTCTGATACAAAATCTGCTGTCATTCCTATCTTTGTTTGTCTGCCTGCAACATGACTTTTATCTCTGGCTGCTGTTAAGATTTTCTATTTTTCATTGATTTTGAGCATTTAAATTATGATATGCCATAGGGTGATTTTCTTTATCTTTCTTGTTCCTAGGGTTCATTGAGCTTCTTGAATCTATACATTTATGGTTTTCATCAAATTTGGGAAATATTCTGCCATGATTTTGGGGTCCAATTACATGTATACTGTGCCACTTGGAGTCACCTGTACCTCAGTAATACTCTTTATTTTTATTGACTGTTTTTCCTGTGTTTCATTTTGGTTAGTTTCTGATGCTGTATCCTCACATTCACTAATCTTTTCTTTTGCAGTGTCTAATCTGCTTTTAATCCCCATTCAGTGTGTTTTCAATTTCAGGCATTATAGTTATTATCTCAAGAAGTCCAATTTTTTCTTTTGATGTCTTCTCTATATCTACTTAACTGTTTGAACATATGGAATGCAATTATAATAACTTTTTATTTTCTTGCCTTCCAATTTGAACACCTTTGGCAGTTCTGGGAAGATTTTGATTGATTTTTTCTGCTGATTATGGGTCCTATTTTCTGCTTCTTTATATATGTGGTCATTTTTTATTGGATACCTAGCTTGTGAATTTTACCTTGTTGGGTGCTAGACATTTTTATATTCCTATACATATTTTTAAGCTTGGTTCTGAAATGCAGTTAAGTTATTTGGAAATGTTTTGATCTCTTGGGGGTGTTTTGTTTAAACATTTGTGAGGCAAGACCAGACCAATTTCAATCCATGGGCATTTTTCCCCACTACTGAGGCAAGACCCTTTTGATTATTCTACTCAATGTAGACAGTATTCCTCTGTGAGAAAGGTGGGCACTGTTCTCTCTTAAGGAAGAGAGGGTCTTTTAGAGAGTTTCAGCCAGGTGCAGTGGCTCACATCTGTAATCCCAGCACTTTGGGAAGCTGAGGTGGGAGGATCCCCTGAGCACAGGAGTTTGAGGCTGCAGTGAGCTATGATTGTGCCACTGCACTCCAGCCTGAGTGACAGAGAGACATCTTGTCTCTAAAAAATAACACCTAAAAATCATAGGGCGTCTTCTTCAGATTCAGGTAGTTTCCTCACATGCATGTACTGGTCACTACTTGGCTGAATTCACAGATCTCCGGGGCCCTTCTTCTGTGCTGCAATCTATTCTCTAATACTCTTTCCTGTGAACTGTAGCATTCTTGACATCCCTGGATTCTTAGCTTTGTCTCCTCTACTGAGGGAGTACCCTGGGTTCTGCCTGGCTTCTTCTTCCCTCCCTGCACTGCACATGGACATTATCTCACGGCAAGAATCTGGTAGCAACAGTTAGCTTTGCTTCTTTTTCTCCCCCCTTAGGAACCACTGTCTTTCGTTGCCTGAAATTCAGTGTCTTGAAAATACTTGTTTCATAAATTTGTCTTTGATATGCTTTTATTTGTTTTGCTTTTGGTTGTCTCTGGTGGGAGAATAAATCTGAATTTTATAACCCATCTTGGCTGAAAGTGGACACTGTCTCATCAATTTCAAGATATTATTTTACTCACTCTTGCCTCTAATGTTGTGTTCACACTAATTTTCCTCCTTTTTAGGCAATCTGCTTTTCCTGTCAGGCTGATTTTAAGAAATTTTCTTTGTCTTTGGTGTTCTTTACTTTCACTTAGATATATATATATATATCTGTTACTAAGATATATATATATATATATATATATATATCTGTTACTAAGATATATATATATATATATGTTACTAAGATATATATAATCTGTCACTGAGATATATATATATCTGTGTCCATTTGTATTTTCATTTGTGTTACAAAGGCTGTCATAATACAATTCAATAACTGATGATTTCATCAATCTGAAAAAATTGGTACACGTTATCCCACCGAATATTGTTTCTTTCTTGGTCTTTTTATTTTTTAGTTTTTAAAACTCTGATTAGGGTAGAACTCTGTCCTTCATGTTGTATTTTGGATAATTTCTTTTGAGCTTTCATTTCCTGATCCCCTATTCACTTGTGCCCAAACTGATGATTGCCTCATCCACCGAGTATTTGTTTTAAATATTTATGTTTTCATTTCTTATTTTATTTTTTGTTGTTTAAAAAATCCTCATTTGTCATTGCATTAGTCTGTCTTCATGCTGCTGATAAATACATTCCTGAGACTAGACAATTTACAAAAGAAAGAGGTTTATTGGATTTACGGTTCCACATGGCTGGGGAGGCCTCACAATTACGGCAGAAGGCAAGTAGGAGGAAGTCACATCATACGTGGATGGCAGCAGGCAAAGAGAGAGCTTGTTCAGAGAAACTCCCATTTTTAAAGCCATCAGATCTCGTGAGACCCATTCACTATCATGAGAACAGCACTGGAAAGACTTGCTCCCATGATTCAGTCATCTCCCACCGGGTCCCTTCTGCAACTCTCACATATCTCTGTATGGAGACACAGAACTAAACCATGTCATTCTGCCCCTGGCCCCTCCCAAATCTCATATCTTCACATTTCAAAACCAATCATGCCTTCCCAACAGTCCCCCAAAGTCTCAACTCATTTCATCATTAACTCAAAAGTCCACAGTGCAAAGTATTATCCAAGACAAGGCAAGTTCCTTCCTGCTTATGAGCCTGTAAAATCAAAAGCAAGTTAGTTACTTCCTGTATACAATGGGGGTAAAGGCATTGGGCAAATAAAGCCATTCCAAATGGCAGAAATTGGCCAAAACTAAGGTGCTACAGGCCCCATGCAAGTCTGAAATCCAGCAGGGCAGTCAAATCTTAAAGCTCCGAAATGGTCTCCTGTGACTCGATGTCTCACATCCAGGTCACACTGATGCAAGAGGTGGTCTCCCACGGCCTTGGGTAACTCCACCCCTGGGGCTTTGCAGGGTACAGCCTCCCTCTTGGCTGCTTTCACTGGTTGGAGTTGAGTGTCTGCGGCTTTTCCAGGCACATGGTGCAAGCTGTTGGTGGATCTACCATTCTGGGGTCTACAGGATGGCAGTGGCCCTCTTCTCACAGCTCCACTAGGTGGTGCCCCAGTAGGGACTGTGCGTCATGGCTCTGACTCCACATTTCCCTTCCTCACTGCCCTAGCAGAGGTTCTCCATGAGGACCCTGCCTCTACAGCAAACTTCTGCCTGGTTATCCAGGGGTTTCCATGTATCTTCTGAAATCTAGGTGGAGGTTCCCAAACCCCAGTTCTTTACTTTTGTGCACTCGCAGACTACTCAACACCATGTGGAAGTTGCCAAGGCTTGGAGCTTGCACCCTCTGATGCCATAGCCCAAGCTCTGTGTTGGCCCCTTTCAGCCATGGCTGGAGTGACTGGGACGCAGGGCACCAATTCCCTAGGCTGCACACAGCACGGGGACCCTGAGCCTGGCCTACTAAATCACTTGTTTTACCTAGGCCTTCAGGCTTGTGATGGGAGGGGCTGCCATGAAGAACTCTGACATGCCCTGGAGACATTTTTCCCATTGTCTTGGGGATTAATATTTGGCTCTTCATTACTTATGCAAATTTCTGCAGGTGGCTTGATTTTCTCCACAGAAAATGGGATTTTCTTTTTTATTGCATTGTCAGGCTGCAAATTTTCCGAACTTTTGTGCTCTGCTTCTCTTCTAAAACTGAATGCCTTTTACAGGACCCTCTTGAATACTTTGTTGCTTAGAAATTTCTTCCGCCAGATACCCTAAATCATCTCTCTCAAGTTCAAAGTTCCACAAATCTCTAGGGCAGGGGCAGAATGCTGCCAGTCGCTTTGCTAAAACATAACAAGAGTTGTGTTTGCTCCATTTCCCAACAAGTTCCTCATCTACATCTGAGACCACCTCAGCCTGGATTTCATTGCTCATATCATTATCAGCATTTTGGTTAAAGCCATTCAACAAGTCTCTAGGGAGTTCCAAGCTTTCCCACATATTCCTGTCTTCTTCTGAGCCCTCTAAGCTGTTCCAACCTCTGCATGTTACCCAGTTCCAAAATCGCTTTCACATTTTGGGATATCTTTTCAGCAGCGCCCCACCCTACTGGTACCAATTTACTGAATTAGTTCATTTTCATGCTGCTGAGAAAGACATTCCAGAGACTAGGCATTTTACAAAAGAAAGAGGTTTATTGGACTTACAGTTCCACATGGCTGGAGAGGCCTCACGATCGTGGCCGAAAGCAAGGAGGAGCAAGTCACATCTTACGTGGATGGCAGCAGGCGAAGAGAGACTTGTACAGAGAAACTCCCATCTTTAAAACCATCAGATCTCGTGAGACCCCTTCACTATCATGAGAACAGCACTGGAAAGACCCACCCCCCATGATTCAGTCATCTCCCACTGGGTCCCTCCCACAACATGTGGGAATTATGGGAGCTACAAGATGAGATTTGGGTGGGAACACAGAGCCAAACGGTATCAGTCATTTTGGTCTTTTGCTTCCTATTTACATTTCAACCTTCATTTTTGTTTATTTAAATACATTAAATCAATTTATTTTATATTCTGAGTCTAGTAATCCCAATAACTCTCAGTTGTTACTTTTGGTTTCCAATTATGTTTCTTTGGGTTCTTGAATGTTTTCCTACTGTTACTTTCATCTCTTATTCCTGGAACATTTGTCCTAGAGAAATACTTAGAGGCTTAGAATGAAAACGTATTCCTTTTTAAAAGAATGTGTTTGCTTCTACTAGGCAATTGAGGGACTCTACCAACCTGGTAGCACTTTAAAATGAATTCTCAGAATATTTTCAGATCATTTAGGATGTGTGAATTTGTGTGGGGTTCATTTCCAATTAAAATTTATACTAAACAAGCAACCCTTTAGGGTCCCAACTTCATTATTCAGATGTCTTCATTTGTACTGTCTACTTGGGGTGTAAGCGGGGATTGATAATCATCTCAGAGTGTTCTGTATTATTATCTAATATTACAAGGGAAAGGGAAGACAATTCTAGAGTGCGAGCCTGCTATTAACTTAGTTTTTGTCCTCTAAGGATTCCTTACTCTCTCTAAGGATTCCCACTTTCAGTCACTGATGCATTTAAATGTCTAAAAAATGTTGACCCCAACATTTTTTTTCATTTTTTAGTTGGGATAATTGTTTAGGGTGTCTAGTTGGCCATACTGACAAAAATGGAAGTCCCTTATGTTTAAGATGTTTAAATTTTGAGACAATTGATATTTTCAAATCAATGTTGTAATGCTGTAAGTAAACCCAGGCAAGTTTGGTCGTGTACAATTGTTATTTTTAGTAAATACCAAAAATCCTTGTTATTTAGAAGAAATGCAGAGCCATATATATTTTCTCTATAACCTTGCTATAGTAATGGGTAACCATGAAAATATATCTCAGACTGAATTCTTTTTTTTTTTTGAGATGGAGCCTTGCTCTGTAGCCAGGCTGGAGTGCAATGGCATGATCTCAGCTCACTGCAACCTCTGCCTCCCGGGTTCAAGCGATTCTTCTGCCTCAGCCTCCCCAGTAGCTGGGACTACAGGCGCGAGCCACCATGCCCAGCTAATTTTTGTCTTTTTAGTAGAGATAGGGTTTCACCATGTTGGCTAGGATGGTCTCAATCACTTGGCCTTGTGAGCCGCCCGCCTGGGCCTCTCGAAGTGTTGGGATTACAGGCATGAGCAGCAGTGCCCGGCCTGAATTCTTTTAGACATGTGAACATTATCAGCAGGCACAAAAGCAGTAATGTGTCCTGTCCTATATTCTTCATAAAGTCCTGATCCTAGTTCTAGAAAGAACTACAAGGATACCTTATGTAAAATGTTCACTGGAGGAAAACACTAGGATATTCTGCAGGTAAGATTCGCTTATGTTGTTGGCATCCATGTAGCACTGATCCTGTGAAATCAGTATCTAGACCCAGTACTTTTACAGAATCACTGTACTTAACTAAAAGGTGCTAATCTGTTAGGGTGAAGAGGAAGAGCTCACTAGATTTTTATTACCAATTCATGCCAGGGCTTTATGAGGTACTCACTAATTCACGCATCTTGAATATCAGCAATCACCAATGAACACTCACTTTAACATTTATTTTAATAAATAACAAATTCGTGTGCTAATCAAAGATGGCCAAAGCCTCCTCTGAAGTGTGTTTTTTTGTAGGAAAGGCTGGCGAACCACTCCCTGGAGTTTGTTTCTGATGAGGGGAAACTCACTGTCCCCAGAGTATAGATAATAAGGAACTAACATAGTCATATATATGTCCCTAGAGTATACATAATAATGAACTAACACAGTCATATGTCACACTGCCTCTGCCGAGGTATTTTTTTTTTAATTTTATTTTACTTTAAGTCACGGGATACATGTGCAGAATGTGCAGGTTTGTTACATAAGTATACATATGCCGTGGTGGTTTGCTGCGCCTATCAACTCATCATCTAGGTTTTAAGCTCCCCATGCATTAGGTATTTGTCCTAATGCTATCCCTCCCCTTGCCTCCTAACCCCTGACAGGCCACAGTGTGTGCTGTTCCCCTCCCTGTGTCCATGTGTTCTCGTTGTTCAACTCCCACTTATGAGTGAGAACATGCGGCGTTTGGTTTTCTGTTCCTGTGTTAGTTTGCTGAGGATGATGTCTTCCAGCTTCATCCATGTCCCTGCAAAGGACATGAACTCATTCTTTTTTATGGCTGCATAGTATACCATGGTGTATATATGCCACATTTTCTTTATCCAGTCTATCATTGATGGGTATTTGGGTTGGTTCCAAGTCTTTGCTATTGTAAATAGTGTTGCAATACACACAGGTATGCATGTGTCTTTATAGTAGAATGATTTGTAATCCTTTGGGTATATACCCAGTAATGGGATTGCTGGGTCAAATGGTATTTCTGGTTCTAGATCCTTGAGGAATTGCCACACTGTCTTCCACAATGGTTGAACTAGCAAACTACAGGCCTCTCACAAATATACATTTTTTATTAGACAGGTACCACTTTTGTGGTAGATAATATAACTTTTTTGCATCCTCATTGTCAGTTCCAGCTATTCTATTGGCATATATCCATGAGCTAAACAATGGCTCAGAATTAAAATTTTGGTACAACCCAAAATATAAGATTTATGAAAACTCCCACTTTTTAAAGAATTGTTTCTTGAAAGCATGTTAAGAATGTAAACTTACATTTTTTTTTTGTTTTGTTTTTTGTTTTTGAGACAGAGTCAGTGACATGATTTCGGCTCACTGTAACTTCTGCCACTCTGGGTTCAAGTGATTCTCCTGCCTCAGCCTCCCGAGTAGCTGGGACTACAGGTGCCTGCCACCACACCTGGCTAATTTTTTTGTATTTTTAGCAGAGACAAGGTTTCACTGTGTTAGCCAGGATGGTCTCGATCTCCTGAACTTGTGATCTGCCTGCCTCAGCCTCCCAAAGTGCTGGGATTACAGGCATGAGCCACTGTGCCCGGCCTAATGTAAACTTACTTTTAAAGTGTGAATAATTGTTACCTAGTTATCTCTTTCATGTTAAAGAAATGTGCTTTTTGAAAAGTCATCTTCATTGTTCAACATAAATTAATTTATAAATATCTATTGAATATTCTCCTTTTTTTCTGGTCATGAAGAATCTTTCAGTATGTTTATAATCATCTATTAGAACAATATATTTTATTCATGACAGGTAAAGCCTAAATAATTAATTTTCAGTATTTTTCTGGAATTGCTCAAATCTAATTAAAACTACAAGCTAAAAATACTAAATCTTTGTTGACTTCCCAAGGAGGCCTCTTAAGGAGACTGATTTATGAGCCTTTCCTTCCTCCATCTAGCTCCGGATTTTTGGCAGAAGTCAGTGCCTAAAATAGGTGTTTGCTTGTGGTCAGACCTTGCTGCTATTAATACCTATTAGATGCCTAATATATTAGCTTTTATTTAGTACTTTATAGTTCTGTAGCACTTATCTCTTTGCAAAGTACTCTTCACACAATTATTTCAAGTTTTGCAAAGAAACATAGGAAATCAGTCTTAGTAACCCCATCCCACAGATGAGAGGTCTAAGACCAATGGCCTCAGTCCCGGTTAGTTCTGTGGGCTGAACTGAGATGTAACCACAGGTCTTCTGATCCCAATTGTTATGCCACAATGCCTTACTTCCCATTTTGATGAATTAGAGTGGAATTGAATCTAAAATGAGATCTTTACATGCCATTTCAGATGCTAAATTATTTGCACATTAGAGGCAAAACGTGCCTTCTATGTAGATGATTTATTTGAAAGTCACCTGCGTAATTTCTTGCTAAAAGCCACTTCTCTCATCTCTACTCCGTTCTCTGAAACCCACCATTTGTGTCAGAACTGGTTGAATTATAGCAGTTTTTTAAAGGAACACTTTAACGTGACTTAATTTATCATTTTCCTAGATAACCAAAAGTCCAGGCAAAGGCTATGAGAACATAGAGCATAACTCAGCAAAATGTCAGGGAAGAAGCTGTGAAAAGGACTCCTAGGACATCCTGGATTGCTTAGGAGAGACCAGAAGTGGCACTGGAGGATTAGGCGCTTGGAAGAAAATTCCCAAAATTTGGGAGACAAAGCATTAGGGGAATGAGAGGAATGAAGAAAAAATCCAATTTTGTGGGAATCCAGCTTGATGTTTTAATATAGGGTCTGTTTTTTCATTGCTTTCACCTGTTACATGGAGCTTTCACCTGTTACATGGAGCACAAAGACATAATGAACTAGCTCTGTACGGAGGGGAAATAACATATAGATATTTAGGCAAATCTGTGAGACTTCCCAATAATCTGTCAAATCCCAGCCACAGGATGAACATGGACCTCATCCTCCCTGTATGAAACTCACCACCAGTATTGTGGGCCTGGGACATGTGAGATGTCACATGCACAAGCTGCTCCAAAGAACATATCTCCAAAGGGTTTAGGATGCCCCAGTTAAGAGGCCAACCTCAAAACCAAGAAGATTTCATGAAACCTCCTTGTGTTTGCTAGGAAAGAACCCTGAAATCTGTAAAGTACTAACCCAAGGGAGGTCACTCTTCATTCATTCACATAGTAGTTCCTAGCATTAATGGCTCCACTGAACTATTTCAAGGAGCTATGTTTAATTTTTTGCCATCTCCTGGTCATTACACGTAATTTTCTAGTAAATAGTTTACTCTTCATAAACTAAATATTCATTTCTCTTGATGACAGTAAGCTGGATAGTCTGTTGTAGGAGTCGTCATTGTGGAAGAACCAGAGTAGACTTAAAATAAAAATTCTAAACAAGCTTAAAAACTTCCCAGATCTCCAGGACCGTAAGGGAAGAAGTCATGGGGGGATTCACAAGGAGGGAGTCAGTAGCTAAAGGGCTCTAGCACAATGCCCTGAGCCTGGTTTCACTGCAGGATTCCTGCCAGACGAGCTGCACACTGGAAGGAGCACTTGTTGGTTTGTCTGCACAGTCCCACAGTTTTGTCTTCAAAACAGAACCCAGCAAAATTGAGCTTTCAATATTTTGTTTTTCTTATCTCTAGCAAAGATATATTCCACTGGGCTATGTTTTTGATTGCCTGTCCTGAAGCGATGACATCTGACTGTTTCCTTCCTACATTCAAGCACTGGAATTCTAGCCCCAGGCCTTTTAGTTTTGGCAGAACTCTTACAACTTATCTGCCAGGCCCTTAACATCCCCCCATCCAGAAGAATTAGCCAACTAGCACATCAGCAAAAATAAAGGGACAGTGGTAGGCAACATTTTCGCATCGGTAGCCCTGGACCAAGGACTTGCCACAGGCTGGTTGTTGCAAAGCCTCCATTCTTTGGTTTCCTAAGACTTTTTTTTGTTCTTTTTAAAAAAAATTTTCGGAGGAGTATGTTAAAAGGCAACCTCAATGAGGCCAGACTCCAGGAGACATTCCAAGACAAGCTCCACCTTTATAAATCCCATGAAGGTTTATGAGCTGTAAAGTTTGCATTACTTTTTATAAAAAGAGAAATTGCGACATTGCAATTTCAGAACTCAGATGCTAAAACTATGCTGACTAGAAAGTAAGGCAAGGCCCCAAGGAGAGGCATTCATGCTTTGCGAAAGAAAGCATCACATTTAGTTCTAGAAACTGCTGGGAAGGCAGATGCAAGCTCACAGCCCTAATAGTGATCTCCACAAACCATTGCTTCTCTTGCTTTGAAAAGTAATTGGAATTTTGGTTCCTATACAAAGACCTCCCAAGACATCTCCAAAGATACCAACCTGTGACCCTGTGTAGAAAAGAGAGTTTTGAGGCTGCCATTTTTAATAAATTACTTCCCATTATGGCCCACTATCACATCTTTCTTCAAAAGTCATAAGAAAAATGACAGTACTGAAAGTTTTGGAATGTCCTTCCAAGTAAATGTGGGTTCAAGAAAGCTGCACGTGAGGAAGGTGACTGTTGGTCCAGCCACTGCCGGAGCGTTGCTGCTGGCGAGGCAGGAGCAGGGGCCGTGGTCATGCTGCAGATGAGAGAAGGTGGAGTGAACAATGTGGCATGCTCGGCCCACTGGCAGCAGAATTAAGAGTTCTGGCACTTCAGCAGCGGCCCCAGTTGCTCTTGGTGAACAAAGTTTGCCTTGCTAGAAGCCAAGATTTGTTCATGGTTCTAATCCAGCCAGTTTCTTTTATGCACACTAAAATATCTTTTTCATAAAATCTTAGGTTCTCAAGACTTGAAAGAGCAATGTGCCCCATTCCTTTCACCTCTGCACTGAATTTTATCTACAGTACCAGGAACAGAGTCTTTTCTCAAACAATGGAGAGTTGTCATCCAATTCTGTTTGCTAGGCAGCTCTTCTTTAAAGGGAACAAAATCTACCTCCGTTGTTATTTTCATCCCCAACTCCTAATTCTGCCCCCTGAGTAGCTCTCAGCTGCCTAACTGCTCTTCTGGGCAGTTACAATCTGAGAGCAGTTACCTTCCTCTTTGTTCATTACTGTGAAACAATTCAGGCTTCTTCCAGGCAAGCAAATCTTTCTATTCATAATCATGTGTGGCATCGCGGAGAACATTTTCTGCAGGTCTCCCACAGCATACTTTCCCCAAGAAGAAAACCAGGAATTCTACCATGATATTCTCCTCACATACAAAACATGACATTTAAAAAAATGGTAACAGCTATCTATATAGTTTAATGGAATTAGGTAAGGACGAAAACAGAAACAGTCTGATCAGAGAAGCAACCCTGTAGCATAGTGGTTAGAGCACAGACATCACAGCCAGGTGGCCTGTGTGAGAATCCTGGCTTTTCTGCTTCATGATTGTGTGATCCTGGGCGAGTCAGTTAACCTCTCTGTGGCCTCGGTTGCCACGTCTGTAAGGTGGATATAGTAATAGTCCTTGTCTTATGTAGTAGACATGAGGATTAAATAAAATGAGTTACTATTTGTAAACCCTTAGAATAGTATCTGCCGCATGGTAAGTTACAATTTAACAAAGGTGAAATTATCCTGCTGGGTCAGGTCTCAAGAGGAGTGAAGAACAAGGCATTAAGTTAAGCCCATTATTCCAGGTGTTTAGGCTTAGGTTAGGTGCTCTTGGCTCTGCCCAAGGAGCCCAACACACACACACACACACACACACACACACACACACACACACACACGTACACACAATACTGACAATTCCTAACCCTCCTCTTTTCTAATTCTTTTCACACAACTCAAGTTACTGACTGAGATCAGTCGAAATTCCTTAGCATATCAACAAATGCTCTCTGAAATTTAAAAATAGGAATGAAAATGGGTTTTCTACCTGACTTGCGGGGGAGTGGTATTGTAAAAGCCCCTTTCATACTTTTCCACTGAATTTTGCTCGCCATGAGAGCCGCAGGAGTATGAATGTGCACCTGAAGCTGCAGGGCCTGAACACAGTCATGGACCTGCTTCTGCGCCTGGTGATGACTTGCAGGGAGGGACTTAACCTCACTCCTGGATGTGGAAGCCTCACAATGCCTGCCCTTCGTCACCCATGTACTGGGAAAATTACAGTAGTCACTACCTCCATAGTTTTTAGAACATGACAAGTTTTCAATTAACACTCCCTTTTTTGTATGAAAGCACTTTAATGGAATCTCATTGGTGGCACATGAAAGCTAACAAAGTCAGAAATATTTTGATAGACTGAAATTGTTTCCAGTATTGAAAAATAGCGGCATCATGCCATCTGTTCACCTGAGTTACCACCTGTATTAGTCTGTTCTCATGCTGCAAATAAAGACTTACCCTGGACTTGGTAATTTATAACAGACAGAGGTTAATTAACTCACAGTTTCACATGGCTGGGGATGCCTCACAATCATGGCAAAAAGCAAAGGGGAAGCAAGACACGTCTTACATGGCAGCAGGCAAGAGGGAGCTTGTGCAGGGGAACTCCCCTTTGTAAAACCATCAGATCTCTTGAGACTTATTCACTACCATGAGAACAGTTTGGGAGAATCCACCTGCATGACTCAATTATCTCCACCTGGCCCTGACCTTGACATGTGGGGATTATTACAATTCAAGGTGAGATTTGGGTGGGGACATAGCCAAATCATGTCACCGCCCCTTCATTCCAACCCATGAAAGGATTCTTTCCATGACACGTCTGCCTGGCACACAGTGATAGTGTGCAGGGTTCTTAAATTCCTCCAGCAAGTGTCTGGATGGATATAGAGGAGGTACAATTCCATCATCCCAAATCAATGGAAAATGGGATATCGGACATAGTGTATTCCCACGGTAGCGGGACTCTGTGTAGCATGCACCACAGTAACTACTTAAGGGACACATAATTAACTCTCTGTTAAAAGGCAAATAACAAGTAACAGGTTAAGAAACATATTGCAAAATAAATGAAAAAATATTAATATTTCTAATATGTAATCTTAGAAATGAAGAAGAAAATTACTCCAATGAAGAAATGGAGAAAGACAAAAATAGGAAATTAAAAGGAATTTTAAGTGGCCAATGTAATGTAAACGTTCAGTTCAATTGTCATTAGGATAAAACAATGTAAGTTAAGGAAAAAGCTAGGTATCTTTTTTTTTTAACCGATTAAATTGGTAAATATGTGAAAAGTTAATTGCCCACTGTAATCTCCAACCTTGTAGCCTTGTCCCTGGTTACAGTTTTTTGGCCATTCTTCCCTTTCTTCCAAGGAGTTCTTATATGGGCTAATAGGGTTCTTTGCCTCCAGGGTCCTCACCCTCCTGTTTGCTCAGCCTAGAATGTCTTTCCTCCACTCTGTTGTGCCTAAATGCCCCTTCCCTAAGTCCCTTTGCAACTTAGAGTGTTCTCTCCTTTCCTTTTCATATTTTTTTTTTTTACCTTTTTTAGAGAAGGGGTCTGGCTCTGTTGCCCAGGCTGGAATGCAGTGGTACAATCTTAGCTCACTGCAGCCTCGATCTCCTAGGCTCAAGTGATTCTCCTGCCTCAGCCTCCAGAGTGGCTGGGATGACAGGCTTGCACCATCACACCTGGCTAATTTTAAAAATTATTTTGTAAAGATGGGTCTCCCTATGTTGCCCAAGCTGGTCTTGAACTCCTGGGCTCAAGTGATTTTCCTGCCTCTGCCTCCCAAAGTGCTGGGATTACAGGCTTGAGCCACCACGCCTGGCTTTTCCTTTTCTTTTCCTTCCTAAAACTTACTGTAATTTTCAATCATGTCACTGCCTGTCATTATTGTGTCTCTTCTGCTCTGGATGTAACTGCAGAAGGCTAGGACCATGGGTGGTTTGCTCATCCCCGGAAACACAGTGACTGATATGCTGCTTAGATTATGGGAGCTACTCGATACATATTTTCCAAGCAGGTGGAGAATTCATGGCTATGTGATGATGTGGGTTTTTTGTTTTGTTTTGTTTTTGAGACAGTCTTCCTCTGTCACCCAGGCTGGAGTGCAGTGGTGCAGTCATGGCTCACTGCTGGCTCGACTTCCCAGGCTCAATTGATCCTCCCACCTCAGCCTCCCCAGTAGCTGGGACCACAGGCATGTGCCACCATACCCTGCTAATTTTTGTATTTTTTGTAAAGGTGGGGTTTTGTCATGTTGCCCAGGCTGGATGTGAAGTTATTAAGTCTCTCAAAAAAGTGTTGTGCTTATATAGTATGTTTAGTCATATGATATTGTTGTTTTGTAGGCAAAAATACTCAAATACCACCAACTTAGGTTCAACTTAGAACCTAATACAATTTTCAGAAGACATTTTTAGTTATAAGTTTGAAAAGTCATAAGCAAGGCCATTCTTTCACTATGTCTTGATCTAAAGATATATCCGTATCTAAGGATGTGTAAAGGGACAGCTGTATTCACAGCGTCATTCATTATTGAAACAACCAAAAAAGACAGAAACATACTGTGCCCAACCCAGAGGAACTAGCTAAATAAATTAAGGTACATTCATGCATTGAAATGGTTGGTGGCCATTACACATGTATTTTTTAGGAATATGGGTTGCCCTGAAATAATTTTATTACAAGAAATTAAGTCTGTTACATTGCAGTCTGTGAGCTTTCCCTCTCTCTCTCTCTCTCTCTCTCTCTCTCACACACACACACACACCACACAGAGAAAGAGTGAGAGAATGAGAGGGAGAGAGAACAGAAAGAAGTCCTGAAGGATATGTAACAACTTGTTAACAGTGGTTAATTTCTGTATGGTGGGATTACTCATGATTAAGTGAATATACATTACTTGTGTAATAAGGAAAAATCCTTTGAAAGTATTAAGTTCTAGAGTCTATTAAAATTATAAGTAGATAGGCCAGGCATGGTGGCTCACGCCTGTAATCCCAGCACTTTGGGAGGCCAAGGCAGGCGGATCACGAGGTCAGGAGATCGAGACCACCCTGGCTAACATGATGAAACCCTGTCTCTACTAAAAATACAAAAAATTAGCTGGGCGTGGTGGCAGGCGCCTGTAGTCCCAGCTACTTGGGAGGCTGAGGCAGGAGAATGGTGTGAACCCAGGAGGCGGAGCTTACAGTGGGCAGAGATGGCGCCACTGCACTCCAGCCTGGGCGACAAACAGAGCGAGACTCCGTCTCAGAATAAATAAATAAATAAATACAATAAAATTATAAGTAGATATATATTTAGATAGCTGGATGACAGATAAATAGAGAAGAGAGAGAGTAGGAAGAATTATTCAGTTGAGATCTACACCTCAGACCCTACCAAATCATGAGTGACTTGCACCTAATACAGTTACATGTCAGAGTTCTTAATTTTATAATTGCAGTCTAGAATAGCAAATATAAAATTCTACCATTTAAAATAAGCTATTCTTTATTTATTTTAAAGTAAAAAGGCTTAGAAAAACCAAGGACAGCCTCTGTATGTCATACCATGGTGCTTTTAGACAAACAATAGGAGGTTACCTATAGAGACATCGGTTACCTACAGAGACATCAAAGACCTCTTTCTCTAAATTTAAGACACATTTGACTTTAAGACAGAATTTCAAAAAAATTTATCTTTAATAACTGCCTATGTCTTTGTTTTTGACAAGATGTTTTAGTTATTTTACTCTCTTCAAAGGATAGAGAGAAACTCATTAAGTAAATGTGACCAGATCATGTAGGTTTTATCCATGGTGTTGTAAACCAAAAAGTATCTGAAATAGGTCTCAATCAATTTAGAGGTTTGTTTTTGCCAAGGCTAAGGATCATGACCTATGACACAGCCTCAGGAGGTCCTGAGAACATGTGCCCAAACTGGTTAGGTTACAGCTTGATTTTATACATTTTAGGGGACAGAAGTTACAGGCAAAGACATAAATTAATACATATAAGGAGTACATTGGACAGCCCAGAAAGGGGGAACGTCTAAGTCATAGGTGGATTTAAAGATTTCCTGATTGGCAATTGGTTGAAAGGGTTAAGCTCTGCCTGAAGAGTTGAAATCAGCTTTAGTTAAGGTAAGAGGGTGGGAGTTGTGGAAGCCAAGTTCTTGTCATCCAGATGAAGTCTCCAGGTAGCTTGCTTCAGAGACAATAGATGCTAATGTCTTTTATGGGATCTTAAAGGGTGTCAGACTCTCCAAAGCGACCTAGTAAGGAAAGGAGATTTTCTAAAGAATGTAAATTTCCCCCACAAGAGACAGCTTTGCAGGGCCATTTCAAGATATGTGAAAGAAATATATTTCAAGGTAAAATACTTAGATGTACCTCAAGGCCTGCTGTCATGTGATGCTATACCAGTCAGGCTGGAATTTGGTATCTTATTGCCACAAAAAGTTTGTTCTGTCAGTCTTAGGATCTCTGTTTTAATGTTAATGCTGGTCCGTGGTGCCTCAACTCCAAAGGAAAGAGGGTATAATGAGGCATGTTGGACCCCACCTTCCTGTCATTGTCTGAACTGGTTTTTTAGGCTTCTTTGGGCCTCCTGGGCTGAGGGGCAGTCCATTCAGTCTCTTGGGGGCCTTAGAATTTTATTTTTGTTTACAGCACCATAAAGGAGGATCAGGAAATAATAACATATCTCCCACCACTCCTACTTTTATAAACCCAAGATCTCCCTCAGGTCAAGCATACACATTCTAACATTCCGTCCATCTGCTCTATTGTATCAAACTCCATTAAACACTGTAAAAGACTAAGTTATGGGAGAGGATAGCGGGATCTGTCCTGAGACCCGAGAGGTTGGTAGAGGCATTTTCCTCTCACAGTCTTGCCAATAACTTCTCAGCCCCTCAAAGGCTGTGGATGTGATTTTCTACTCCTTTTTTGAAATGGTCTCAACATGCAACTTTTGAAATGCAAAATTTTTGTTTACAGCAAGCAACTGGCAAAAGCATTTTGTTCAAACATTCCAATCTTACTTAAAGATATGGGAAAACATGTCTGAATCTGATCAAAATAATTCGGAGTTTCTTTGCGCTGGTCTGGAATTCATAGCATTATGAATTGCCTCAGTCACAACAGCATATGTGGGGTACCCATGCATGCAGCAGCATAACACCTTCATATGATGCGTGCACGTTTGCAGCTCGCTCACACTTTTAATTTCTTTTCTTGAGTTCTCCATTTCAGAAGGGCAGTGAGTTGAGGTGCTCCAGCTCATCACATAAACAAGAGTGTTTTCTATGGCTCTAATTCATATTGCAGCTGTGGTTAATGCTGTGAGTGTTTACATAAAGACTGATGCATGGATACCTTTACAACAGCAGCTGGGAGACCACAGTCAGCCAAAACCTCAGCAAAGTACCGTAAATCATTTTGAGTCAGCAGTGAGACAAACCAAAAAATCTTTTTTTCTCTCTCCTGTTAATGCATTTGAATTAAACCATTAAACAGGGATGAAGGTGAAGTGTTGTAAAAGTTTTGCACAAGTAGGACAGGGGAATGTTTGACTTTGGACACCGTGAGTAGACGTGCATTACTCTGCACCTTTCATCCCAAATGCTTTATAGGCTAGTTCCAAATGTTCCTCTTCTTTGAATTACTGCCTGGGAAGAGATGTCTTGGCCGGTAAAATAGGGGAGAAATGGATGCTCCAAGGAAGATGGCCACAAATCTCTCTAGGTCACTAATAAATAGGGGGAACTTTTGGCTATTATAATGTTAGATCCAGAAAAATCTGAATTTAATGCGTACTTGTGGAACAGGATGTGATGGCATGAAGGCCTGGGATCTGAATGGCTAAATCATTTGTTCCACATTTATAACATTTATTCATTTACAACAAAACTTTTGTGTTTATTTTATTTATAATATTTATGTGCCAGGCACTGTTTAAGAACTGGACTTTAAAAAAGGATGAAACTCTGGCTCCCTCCCCTCAAAAGGGAAGTGCAGAGTGCTTGGTGGAACAGGGAAATCACAGCACAAAAATAAAACAAATCAAGCGTGCCTGTCAGTGAGAGTCCTAAGCTGGCAAATGAGAGCAGTGAGTATCCAACAGCCCCTCTTTGCTTGGAGCGGCCATGCCTCTGTTTTGACTTTGGTAAGACTTCTGTCTGTTTGACAGGCTTGATGAAACGTTTTCTTAGATGACAGTGTACTCTGGAATCAGAGTCCATGGAGCTTCCTTTGATTTGAAGCCTTCAGGTTTTCCCTCATAGCTCCCCCGCTTTCCCTTACTGTAATATGGAAACTGATACTTATTCAAAGCCAGACTTCATTCTTTCTTTCCTAATGGCGTGTATGAGCCTTCACGTATTGCTTTCTTGTGAGATCACAGCTGCAAGGCTGCCCTATGAGTGGGGCGTCACCACACCAGTGTATGGTATTGTTATTAAGGAAGGGTATGCTTGTGAAATTTTGAATCTTCCTTAGTCTAAATACATTAATCCACGTCTAAGTTCTTTGGGTTTGGTCTCCTGCCCTCTTTCTACACATTTTATTCCCCTAAAAATGCAGTTTTTATATCTCCAATTTGACCTAAAGCAAATAGAGTATAAAATAAAATAAAGCGAGCCTGCTATAGTTATCAACCCCAGAAAAGCTTACGAGTTGTAGACAGCACTAGTCTGGCTTGCTTTGAGCTGGACTACTGAAAAACCACAGAGAGAGGAAAATTCTGTAGTTTGTCTAAGAACGCTTTACCTTTCATTTTAGGTACGATTAAATACCTCAAATTTGAAAACACTATATATATATAGACTTTTTAAAAGTCTGATATTTGCTGCATTCTTTAAATGTGTATTGATTGCTTTTCAACTGGTTCAAATTTAAAACTAAGGGATTCTGCGCTGTGCCAAGAGATTAGTCAGACATTCTTTTGTGTAAATGTAATGTTCACAATATTTATCAGTAAAAAGCATGAATCTGAAGAAAAGGCTTGGCTGTCACAGAACTGTTACATCAGCTCCTCTCCGATGGCCTGGGGGAGCCAAGGCGTCCCCCACCCACGGCCTGCGCTGCAACCTGTCTCCTTTAAACAGACCTGGAAACTGCATCCTGCTAAGTATCCCATCTAACCCATTTCAAATTTCTGTGCGTAAATCAGAGTCCTCCTCGGAGGCTTTGCTGAGCCAAGAACTTGAGCTTCCAAAGGGGTCACCTTTAAAAAATAATAATAATAAAATAAAATAGGAAAAAGAAAAGCAAAACCCTGACCTCTGAGAGATCTGAAAGACGAATCAGATAACATGGAAAAGTGGCTGCCAGTCTCCGGAGAGAACAGAGGATGCGAAGCAAAGAAATCCAGGAAGTGTGCAGCTCGCCCCCTCCTCCCGCGTGTGACCCAGGTCAGAAACGCAAGGCTCCTCCTTGGTCCTTGTGGCCACTAAGTGAAACAAAGTAATGAGTAAGACATTTGTATTCTTTCTTTCACAAAAGGAGATAGGAAGAGCTTGTGCGGCAGGAAGTGTCTGTTTCACCGTTAGACTGCATAGTTACTTGGACATATATGATAAAACCTCAGGAAATGGACTAATTCAAAAGGGTGTTCAGTTTAATTGTGTTTCCTACTCAGTGACAGCATTTTAAGTCCTTGCTGTTGAGAATCTTTCTATTACGCCTTTAATCTTGCTCCAGCAAGAACATCTCAGAGTCGTGGTGGCTGCCACCCTTGGCAGGCTGATCCTACCAAGAGGACGGGGTATTTTGCCAAGTGTGCAGAAAATGGCCCGGACATGATATTTTTCATCAGCTCTTGCTTTCAGTTTTTTTCGTTTTCAATTATTCCTTTTCCTAAAAGCTGAGTACTAAAAGGAAAAAATGCTCAATTAGCATAAAATGGAAGTCTGATTGTTGAGGGGGCTACCTAGGTGGAGTCACTGTGAACTGCTTTTTTCTGTAGTTGATTTATTGGGCCCAGATTTTCATAGGCTCCTATTTTAAGCCTGTTTCATCTGCCTGATTGAACTGAGCCCGTCCAGCTGCTAAGATAGTCACCAAAAATATGTTCCACCCACTAGTGCACTGCAAATTTGTAATAACCAGATAATGGAGAAAAGATCTGGATTGTAGTATTTACTGATATTCATGGCTTAAATACTCCTACCATGGGCGATGCCAAGCTGTGAACGTGACGCCGCTGAATGTGGAGTTGGGTAGAGATCCCGAGCAGCTGCCACCGCCTCCAGCACACCCGGTCTCCCCCGGCAGTGGTCAGCCAGGAATGCCCCTGAGGGCCAAGCCCTGAAGATCTGTGACCTCCTGCACCCTGACTCAAGTCTACTCGTGTAGGCACTAGTTTTCTGTAGCTTTCTCACCATCCAGTGCTCTCCCCTGGAATGCAAACTGAACCAGAGAAGGAAGCCTGGGGAGCTTCTGCCTAAGATCTTAAATGAAGAATTAATATTTCTCTAACAGCAGCCAGTTGGAGGGAGTGTAGCTAACTTAGAATGAGTGAAAGAACAACCATAAAATCAAACCTCAGATTACAGTTCATCCGTCACTTTTGGAAACAAAAAACAAAAAACACTGCTTACATTAAAAAACTTTTGGCCAGGCGCGGTGACTCATGCCTGTAATCCCAGCACTTTGGGAGGCTGAGGCGGGCAGATCACGAGGTCAGGAGATCGAGACCATCCTGGCTAACCCAGTGAAAACCAGTCTCTACTAAAAATACCGAAGATTAGGGCGGGCGCCTGTAGTCCCAGCTCCTTGGGAAGCTGAGGCAGGAGAATGGCGTGAACACGGGAGGCAGAGCTTACAGTGAGCTGAGATTGAGCCACTGCACTCCAGTCTGGGGGACAGAGGGAGACTACGTCTCAGAAAAAAAAAATTTTTTTTCACTTTTTGTATAAACCCTTGCATTTTGACATTTATCTCCTCCCTCTTTATTTTCTTCATGGAATGTGTGTGCATGCAGCCTGATTATTTTTATCACCTGTCCCTCAGTATGCCACAAGATCCGTGTTTACTGCCGTATCCTACTGTCCATTATATTTGAGGGATCAATCAACATTTATGGAATAAATTGAGTGAGTGTCTTGCTTTTACCTGTCTCATGGATGTTATTAAATTAGCGGGTCTGTTTTATTTCCAACATTTTAACCCAAAGGTAATACCTGACATTTAAGAGCAAAGCTAATTTAAATAATGACAGAACTAATCATGTAGAAATATGCAATGTTCTCAGGAATATGGTACTTGAAATCAAAATCTTGAAATGTGTGACACATGGTAAGATTTTTCTACATACATTTAACAATACATTTACTATTTTATTATATATCATGGCATATATTTTTATCAATTGTATTAAAAATGAAGAACTATAAACCACCAGGCCCTCCATATAATAAATAAACATTATGGTCTTTTGTCTGAACTTTGTATTTGACATATGTTCAGGAAAAAGAAGAAATAAGCTGCTATTGTAAGTTTAAACTAAATGTGCTTCATAAGTTTTTATTTTTCATAAAATTTTTAACTATCAAAGTGTCTATGGCATTTCTTTATTTAATTTTAACAAGCGAACATTACTATTTGGCACACACTTCTGGCAAGGTGGAGTTTGTAGTTAGTGTAAAGAAAGCCACAAGCTGTACAAAGCAATTGTAACGCCTTATAAGATGCCCCAAGGAATATAAAAGAAAAAATCCTCCGCCTATGGAAACTGAGAATGCTCCATTGAAATGCTTGCCAGTATTATATAAATCATGGCAAATAAGAAAAATGAAATTACCCTATTTTCTTCTTATTTCTCTCAAAAGAGAAATTTTTGTTGGGCAAAAATGCAATTGTTTCTTAAGATACCTTGTTGGTCGACTTTGCATGTGCTACTTTTCTCAGTCATTTTGTGTCCTTAGCACACGTGTGGGGCCGCAACATAGGACCTCTTTGAACTTCTGCACAAATGACAGAATCCCCGACATTGCATTTATGTTCTCTTGTGTATTTTTAAGGGACAGTCTCATAAACACCACCAATCTGAATATTTTTATAAGCCCTTTATGAAGGATTTAAGTTTAAATGAGTAAGTTACTTATGGATTTGACCTTAATACACATTCTATGCTTTTCCCCTAGGATAATTTCAGGGGAATTTTGGCAAACAGACACTAAAAGCAAAAGTATATAATGCAACATGGATAAACTGAAACAAACCACAAAACATAACGGTGCGCCAAATTAAAAAGAGAAGCGACACTAAAGCATCTTTATGTTCATTTTAACTCACACTTTTGCTTCAGAGTGTGTATGTTGCAAGGGTTGGGTGTGTGTGTTGGGACAGAGTGGAGAGCAGGAATTGGGCTGTGGTGGCTTTGGACAATAAGTGTCTTCTGAGCCATGCCTGTCTGGCAGCATTATTCATTTAAACACTGGCTGAGAACCTTCAATTACTGGTGGCTACCATTTATCTACCACCTACTTTGTGCCAGAGACTGCTCAGATGCTTTGATTACATATCCTCATTGCAGTTATGGGAAGAGTGTGTTGACCTTCATTTTAGAGATGCCTTGACTGACTCATAGAACTACAGCACGTGTCCCAATATGATATCTGACCCATGGCAGGGAGGCAAGTGGGGATTCAAGGCCAAATTAATTTGCTGCAAGAGTTGAATCATTGCCATCTGCCCTGCTGAAATTGCAGGCATGGGTACTTCATTTACAGTTCTGAGAGAAAACTGACAGAGGGAGATGAGCACCATGGGTGCAGTTTACTCAAAGTATATGCAATAGCAAGCTACTCTGAGGAGGGATAAAAGCTGAGTGTCATTGAAGCTACTGAAACATATTTGAGACCTAGAAAATAAGTACAAGTGAAGCAAATATTAACTTACAAAGATGTTGTGGCATTTAAGGGTCAAGACTGCCAGGCTGTCCTTAGGGAGATTCTCTAACGTGGCCTCTTGCTCAGACACAGGTCTTTCCTCTGCTGCACCGGACCACAGTCACAGCCACTCTTGCTTCATTGGAATGCTGAGATCCACCTTTGTTCCTGAAAGCACATCCCTGGAGGTGGAGTACAGACTTGGAATTATAACAATTCTCACTTTCTAGTGATTTGTCACTTAGGAAGTAATTTGCCTAGAGATTTTTATCTGATTACATTTTTATTTCATTATATCATGAAGTTCATGTAAGAATGAGTACGATGAAATCTTATGCAAGCGTCTTAGAATTTCATATAAACCAGAGAACTGATCCATTATAGAAGCAGAGTGTAGTAACAGTCTGAAGTCAAGTTTAAGCAGTTTTCTGGGCAAATGTAATGCTTATGAGACGGTGCAGGAAACTCCTATTCATCTAGCTTTGAAATCACTTAAATTATGGTTACTGGAAATGTCTTCTATAGTCAACTTTTTTGAGAAAGAGACAGAAGACAAATAAACCAATGGGTATCAGAGGTTTGTTTTTAAAGTAGCTTTCAGAGCATATCATGGAGCCCATTCAAAGGCAGCTCAGAATTTCAGACTTACACAGTAAAGGTCTATTCTTCATAATGAAGAACATGGCCATATGCTTAAGTATTTTCTAAATTGTCTAAAACAGATGGCTTTATTTTGTATAGTTTTGGTGTTCTGTATGTTATAGTTCTTTGAAAAGTATAATCTATGTAAGGATTTTGTAATAACTGCATTTATGTAAATACGGTCAGCCAGCTTGCCTCTCCATGCACTCACAGCTTATGAGTCCTGCCTGAACTCCCTGCCTGCCTGCCCATCCCCTGCTGCACATCCCCTGCTGCACATCTGACCCCAGGACAGTCGTCTTCTGTTTCCTCTGCTCTCAGAGTCCTCTGTCTGTTCATGCCATGCTCCTCTACTCATGCTCAGGGTCTTCTCCTCGCTCAGCTACTAAGGAATCTGGAAACGTCCTTTCCTCTGTGTTGTCAGCCTCTGCTCAGCCCCTGGTTCCTACCCTTCAGTTTATAAGGACTCCCATGGGTCTTGCACTAAAGGGCCACCTTGTCCTTTGGCCTCACCTCATCTCTTTGTCTGTCTCACCTCCCACCTGCATTCTCATCCCTTTCCATCTCCGTTTTTTCTGTTTTTTTAAAAAGAGAAGTATCAGGGAATCTGCCCCGACAGTCACATAGGTTCTTTTCTATTTTCCCTAAGCATTGGCTGGTTTGAGAAATAAAGGGACAGAGTACAAAAGAGAGAAATTTTAAAGCTGGGCATCCAGGGGAGACATCACATGTCGGTAGATTCTGTGATGCCCCACAAGCCGCAAAACCAGCAAGTTTTTATTAGGGGTTTTCAAAAGGGGAGGGAGTGTGTGAACAGGTGTGGGTCACAGACATCACGTACTTCACAAGGTGATAGGATATCACAAGGCAAACGGAGGCAGGGCGAGATCACAGGACCACAGGACCGGGGCAAAATTAAAATTGCTAATGAAGTTTTGGGCACCATTGTCATTGATAACATCTTATCAGGAGACAGGGTTTGAGAGCAACTGGTCTGACCAAAATTTATTAGGCAAGAATTTCCTCTTCCTAATAAGCCTGGGAGCGCTATGGGAGACTGGGGTTTATTTCATCCCTACAGTCTCGACCATAGAAGACGGCCACACTCAAGGGGGCCAGTTCAGAGACCCACCCTCAGGCGAGTATTCTCTTTCTCAGGGATGTTCCTTGCTGAGAAAAAGAATTCAGTGATATTTCTCCCATTTGCTTTTGAAAGAAGATAAATATGGCTCTTTTCCGCCCGGCTCACCAGCGGTCAGAGTTTAAGGTGATCTCTCTCATTCCCTGAACAATTGCTGTTATCCTGCTCTTTTTTCAAGGTGCCCAGATTTCATATTGTTCAAACACACATGCTCTACAATTTGTGCAGTTAGTGCAATTATCACAGGGTCCTGAGGCGACATACATCCTCCTCAGCTGATGGGATTAAGAGATTAAAGACAGGCATAGGAAACCACAAGGATATTTACTGGGGAAGTGATAAGTGTCCATGAAATCTTTACAATTTAAGCTTAGAGACTGCAGTAAAGACAGACATAGGAAATTATAAAAGTATTAATTTGGGGAACTAACAAATGTCTATGAAATCTTTACAATTCATGTTCTTCTGCCATGGCTTCAGCCGGTCCCTCTGTTTGGGGTCCCTAACTTCCCACAACAGAGAAGTCTGTCCTCATTGTCTCTCCTTCTCTACCTTCCATTTAGTTTACAACTCACTGCTCCGTCACCTTATCTTTTCCACAATTCCACTGAAACTTTTTTGATACACATCACCATCTTCTCCAAAAGGCCTATAATGAATGATCACCTGTAATCAAAGCTGGCCTCTATTAGATTTGACTCCCTCTTTCTTAAAACTCCTCCATGCACATTCTTTGTTTGTTTGTTTGTTTTTGAGACGGAGTTTCGCCCTTGTTGCCCAGGCTGGAGTCCAATGGCAGGATCTTGGCTCACTGCAACCTCTGCCTCCCAGGTTCAAGCGAGTCTCCTGCCTTGGCCTCCTGAACAGCTAGGATTACAGGCACCCACCACCATGCCCGGCTAATTTTTGTATTTTTAGTAGAGACAGTGTTTCACCACATTGGCCAAGCTGGTCTCAAACTCCTGACCTCAGGTGCTCTGCCCACCTTGCCTCCCAGACTGCTGGGATTTCAGGTGTGAGCCACCGTGCCTGGCCTGCACATTCTTACACCTCCTTTTGTTGTCTTAAGTAGTTCCTCTTTCTTGATCTGCTTTTTAAATATTCTTAATTTCCCCCAGATTCTATGATTGGCCGTCTTGTGTCTCTAAATACTCTTGCTGAAGTAGCAGAAAAAGAACACAAAACTTGAAGTCATGGAAACCTGGGTATGAACGAGTTGTAACAGCATGTTGACTATATTTCCAACAAAATTGCATGAAGGCTGTGTGTCTGAGTTTTCTCATCACATTTTATCAAAAATCTAATTTTAATGTCACATACTACCCACTACATTTAAATAGCATATGTAAACATTTTATAATTACTGCATATTTAGGCTATTTCCGGTGTTCATATTGTATAATTGCCAGGAATTTTCAGTCCCTAACTGTTCCGATAACTTTTTGCTGACGAGTGCCGTATCTCCTAAAAGACACTGGGCTGTGGGGGTTGGCTTCTTTCTTTCTATGATTCCCAACACACACGCTATGCACACTCTCTCTTACTGCCCAATTGCCCCATTGTTTCTGAGAGTGGGACTAGATGTAGAAAGATAATAGAAGTCAGGGGAAGGTGGGGTGATCATGATATTGATAAGAGCAAGAGTCTGGCTTTCTCAGAAGGAGGCTTCTATTCAGGAATGACACAGTTGCCCAGTTTCTAGTTAGTGCGAATCTTGTGTTTCTGAATTAGGGGGAACACTGTGGGAAAAGAATGAAATATACTTGTATCTTTTTCAAGGCTGGCTTGTTTGCTTGGTTTCCACGGGAGACATACACATACAACACTATAATTTGAGTTTTGCAATTCAGTTAAATTGACCTATTAGTGAAAATTCCTTTATGATTCTATTTTCAAGGTTCTTAAAGGGATTTTTACTAGTAACTCAACTTACTCTGTGTGTGTGTGTGTGTCTCTACTTTCCAGTGTGTCTACATCTACTTTAGTGGGAAGTTGGTAGAGGAAGCGTTATAGACTGCCAATCAGAACCAATCTTAAACCAGAAATCTTGTAGTCAAGGATTATCTTGGAAAATTCATTATTTGATGATGGAGTTAATTATTTAGGATTCATGTTTCTTTTGAGAGTAATATGGAAGTAATTTTTGAAAAGAAACAATGTTAAGGTGTTGCAGTACCCTCCATGCATAGATGAGAGTGTTGAAGCATGGATGTTTGTGAACAGACCTGCCCTAGTCTCTACAAAGAGTGAGTAGGTGTGGCAGGGTCTTTTCAGCCTGACTGGCCAACCCAAAATGAGGGCATAACACATGTGTTGAACTCATTCAATACCTTCTTGAGTTGACGTATTTGGATATTAAAAAATTCCTAAGGGCCAAAAAACAAATATAATATTTGTTTGCACTTACTGGGACAACAAAAGAAAATTGAAAAATTCAAAAGCTAAAATGGTAGAAATTAATCATGATAAACATTCATCAGTTCTATTCGGGGAAGTTAGTATATGAAATTTTGAACCTAAAGGGCAAATGAATTGGCTGCAGATATGCCATATTTGGGATTAAAGGATTAAAGACAAACATCTAATAGACAATGGGCATGAAGAGACAATTCACACAACATGCACATAAAATGTTAAAATTTCTGACAAACCTAAGAAAATTTATTTTATTACTAATTATAAAAATGTAAGTTAAAATAAAATGTTTTGTAAAAGATAAAAAAGATTTATAAAAAACTCAACTCTGTGTTAAAAAAATTCAATTGAGCACATATATTTGAATAAATTTGAGGGTTAGAATTTTGGTAGCGTTAATCAAAATTTTACATATACTTATAATTATACTCCTAGGAATTTGCCCTAAAGGAATAATTGAATGAATGTTCAAAGATATAGGTATAGTTGCTCATTGCAATGTTATATATAACAGCAAAAATGTAGATATAAATTTACATATTAATCAGAAATTAAATTTTGTTAAACTATGGAACACTATATAAGCAGTAAAGTGATTACATGGCTATATTTATAGACATTGAGTTAATTATATATTAATATGTAATTAAAGCAGGATTCGAAATAGAGTGGTTGTATTTTGTATGTGCTGGTCTTAGTGTGTGGGGGAGTCTATGCAAAAATAAAAGATTTTTAGTATTTTCACGTTTTGTAAATCATTGTTATTTTACAAATAAGGAAAAATATAAAGCTATTTATTTTGAAAAGCGCACCATTGAACATATGTTGATAGTGAGACTGATGAATTCTGACTTTTGTCTTTTATGACGAGATCACCCACCCTTCACATAATATGACAAAATATTAAGACATTATGAAAAGAACTGATAAAGGATACATGGGATAAAAAGCCAAATATAAACAACAGCAATTATCATATACTTAAGGTTGTGCCATCTAGATATTTATGATCAGATCAGGGAAAATAGACATTGCAAGAGTATTAGGTAGATGTGAAAATGATATTTTAAAAAACAATGTGTCATTAAATATGAAAACTATTAATTAAGGGATGATAAATAATGTTTTGTCTTATCTCTTTTACAATTACTTTTAATCTATTAATGATGAACCTCATGTGGGAAATAGGACTTGGAAAATTTTATAGATCTCACCATTTAACCCAAAAGGCTGAAATTACTCATTTGCTGAGAAAATTGTATTCCTTGGGTATATATCATCCATTAGAGCAGCCATTTCTGGGGTTAAACAGATTTCAGCTAAATTTCAACAGAAGATCATCTTAATATTGGCAAAGTAAAATGTCACTATTAATTGAGAGGAAAAATCTATTTTTCTCTTAGAATTTCACATTATGTTCAGTGTTCAATGCATGGTAAAAAATCTTGGCTCCTTTGATTAGATATGAAAATCTCTTCCTCTGAAGAGTTAAAAATAATGTAAATGAAACTTCTGGCAGAAAAGTTATGAGTGGTACAATTTCCTGATGTTTTAGTTTCATCACCAATTTCTGTGCCAGGCCACATGTTCAGCTGCCTGGCAGCCCCTACAGTATGTGAAAATATTTCCCTTTTTATAGGAATATGCTGGCAAAAAACCACCACTTCCATGAATTATTAATCCTTTTCTGCTGATTATTTTGAAGAAGCAGAGGGGCAGGTCCACATTCAGGTGGCTCTCAGCGGCTGAGACATGCTTCATGAAAAACTGTTGAATTAAATGAAAACTGTGCCTCCTTTGACCACCAGTTTTACCACTACATTAGGTAACCTAGAGGGAAAACGAAGTTACTTTTTTCTGTAGTAAAAATTGAGCAATGAATCCATTGAAAGAATGATTGGTAAAAGTAATCAATGAAGAAACATGATGACCAAGTGAATAATGAATTTACAATATGAAGACAGAGATGTCTTCTTTTCCAGTGATGATGTTCATGAAAATATAAAACTGCAAAATGAAAGGAGCCTGTTAAAAACCCTTTTGTGTTATATTAAGGGAGGAGAAAGACTGAAGGGTAACTTGTCTAAGGAAATAAAGATGACCAGAGGCAGAGCTGTTATTAGAAATCAGATGTCTGATTTAAAGTAACAAGCAAAGCCCTGTGGTTTTAAACCACTATTACAGAAAAAAATTAGAGGAAATAAAAAATAATCTCCCTTGTTCCATCAGCTGCGGAGAGCATATTGGTGGGTGACCGACCTTTTGTCTATGTATATTTGTACAGAACGAACTCCCCCTGTACTTGGGGAGTGTTAAACAAAATCAACACAGGAGAATTCTCAGGGCCTGGATGGAAGGTCGTGTGCAAGGAAGTTTGATGACAGAGAACTTCTATAGGCATTCACAGGCTTCCAGAATTCATCATCAGACACTACAACTTTGTGGAATAAAAAAGGTATTTTTTAAAAATTATAATCAGATGGCAGGAGGCAGGAGACACATGATAGGGAGGAGAATAAAAACAGGAATATGGAGAAGGAAGGGAAGACTAGAACTGAGAGGTGACAGCGTGCTGGCAGCCATCGCTCATTCTTGGTGCCTCCTCCGCCTTGGGGCCCGCTCTGGCAATGCTTGAGAAGCCCTTCAGCCCGCTGCTGCACTATGGGAGCGCGTCTCTGGGCTGGCCGAGGCTGCAGCTGGCTCCCTCTCCTTGTGGGGAGGTGTGGAGGGAGAGGCATGGGCAGGAACTGGGACTTTGCTTGCACTCGCCGGCCGACGCGAGTTCTAGATGGGCGCGGCCTCACGGACCCCACACTCAGAGCGGCCTGCTGGTGCCGCACGCCCTGGCAGTGAGGGGCTTAGCACTCGGGCCAGCAGGTGTGGAGGGGGAACTGGGTCCCCCAGCACTCCTGGGCCGCCAGCGCCATGCTCAAATTCTCACCAAGCCTCTGCCTCCTCGCCTCGAGGAAGGGCTCCGGACCTGCAGCCTGCCATGCCTGAGCCCTACCGCGGTTGGCTGCAGCACAGGCCCGAGCCTCCCCTACAGGCGCCGCCCCCTGCTAGGCGGCTCCTGGTCCCATCGGCCACCCAAGGGCTGAGGGGTGCAGGGGCGTGCAGCGTGGGACTGGCTGCCTGCGGCCCTGGCATGGGATCCACTAGGCGAAGCCAGCTGGGCTCCTGAGTTGGGTGGTGACTTGGAGAACTTTTGTGTCTAGCTGGAGGACTGTATATGCACCAATCAGCACAGTGTCTAGCTCAAGGTTTGTAAACGCACCAATCAGTGCTCTGTGTCTAGCTACTCTGGTGGGGACTTGGAGAACTTTTCTGCCAAGCACTCTGTGTCTAGCTAAAGGATTGTAAATGCACCAATCAGCACTCTGTGACTAGCTCAAGGTTTGAAAATGCACCAATCAGCACTCTGTGACTAGCTCAAGGTTTGTAAATGCACCAATCAGCACTCTGTGTCTAGCTAAAGGTTTGTAAATGCACCAATCAGCACTCTGTGTCTAGCTAATCTAGAAACTCCACCTTTAAGAACTGTAATAGTCACTGCGAGGGTCTGCGGCTTCATTCTTGAAGTCAGTGAGACCAAGAACCCACCAATTCTGGACGCAGAACACAGTTCCCAAGATGAGACGATCCAATGGGTAAATAAGAACATTGGCCTTGGGGTCCCTAATCTCTAACCCTTGGTTTCCTCACCTGAAAAGGGGATGTAGTAATAGTACTAATTTCACAGAGTATTTGAGAAGCTTAAGTTAGCTAATATATAGGAAGCTAGCACCTACTTGGTAAGGGATTAATAACTGCAAACTGTTTTATTGCTATGTTAATTTGGGGGAAATGCCACTCTTGATTTAAAATAGGACTAAAGATGGCTAGAAATTGTTAAACTTGCTTTCCTTACTACCTAAAATTTGGATGTTCAAGGAATTGTTCTTATTTTCATTGTCTATCTTGAGTGCTCTTTGAGATACAGGTATCAGAGCCCCGACTTAAAATGAGAATAGGTGACCCAGGTTATTTTTTCTTCCCTGTAACTGGGAAGTGAGGGAAGGCGAGGGCATCCTGATGGAGTGCACAGAGGCAGATGGGGATGCCATGAGGGGTCAGCCTCCTCTCTCCATCCCTGCTTCCCTCTGCACACGTGACCCATTCTTCCCTCTTACACACAGGCTGTTGCATGTGGCAGCAAACTTGGTCATGGGTGAGCCTGGCTTTCTGGCAGCTGAGGAGAGAGAGCTTCCTACCAGATAGGTGCAGAAACTGGCAGAGGTTCCATCTTGACCCCATGTAGCTAATTGTGGTGCAGCAATGTTATTAGAGAGGAGGGAAAATGGAAGCCACAGAGGTTGATAGGTAGATAGGGTGGAAGAGGGAGGGTGAGAGGAGAATGGACAGGCAGAGCTGGATTCATTCGTAAAGGAGCGATGGCTGGTTTACTTATTCAGGAGGAAACATCCTACCTGAAAGGAGCTTAAAGGCTGGTTTGTCACCCTGGACACACGTGGTAGACATTGGGACCTGCTCTGCAGCTGAATGCAATTTAGTCCAAGGTTTGTTTACCGTGTCTGGACTCTGCCATCTTCCGCTCTGCATTTCAATTCTGTTGACCGGATACTGGATCTACAAAGGACAGTTTCTGAAAGTGAAGAATCACAGTTCATTATTTCTAACTGCTTCATCTAAGATTTGAAAGGAAAAAATCCCTTCTATGAATTACAGTTGGCCCTCCGTATCCATGGGTTCTGCACCAACAAATTCAACTGACCTCAGATCGAAATTATTTGAAAAAGCTTATTTGAAAAAAATACAACAATAAAAACAATACAAATGTAAAAAGCAGTACAATATAACAACTATTTACATAGCATTTATATCTATTACTAGGTATTATAATTAATCTACAGATGATTTGAAGTATGCAGGGGGCTGCAAGGTTATATACAAATTCTACACTGTTTTATATGAGGGACATGAACACCTGCAGATTTTGGGGTCCACAGGGGTCCTGGAATTAATTCCCTGTGGATACTGAGAGATGACTGGACATCCATTCTCCATGCTATATATTTTCCTTTTAATTATTGTTGCTGTTTCGGTTTTCCTGAAAAAAAAAAAATAACATGTTTTAAACTTCTCTACATTATAAATCTCATTTAAAAAGTGTTGAATCAAGGAAGTCTGCCAGCTACTTTTGTTTTCTCTACTTTCCCCGTGTTGGACTGCTTTGGCGAAAGTGAATAATATTACCTTACTATGTAAAGCATGGTTAATGGCTTTAAAAGAATTCCCCAGCAACTGAATAATGGGCTGCCAGAAATATTCGTGGTGCCAAAGGATCTGGACATGTCTGTTCCATTTATTGTGTGTTTCTTGTTTCATCATGACTAAGTGCTCACAAAAGACATAAAAATCCAAACCTCTAGGGTATGTGGAGTTTGAGGGCAGAAACCATATTTTAATATATCTAGTCTCATACCTAGCATGTTAAGATGGTTAGGAAAGTATCAATGGCAAAAAATGATGAGCCTGTGGTATGTCAGACACTGAAATTATTAAGTTGATTTCTGGTGAATAGAAAGAAGTCGTTCTGCCACTGCTGTTGTGCCTGGTTGAGTGGCCTAATGTTTATTCTCAGGAGTACTGAGTGTCTTGCATCGAAACCTTTTGACTTGTCCTGCCTGTTTAAATAAGTTTACATTTCGCAGAAGTAGGAAGATGGGACTTATTTTTAAATTAAAACTCCCTGTTAAAAAAGCCTAACAATATAGTATAGCAAAATCATTTAAATTAAAAAATTTACCTGAATAATAAATGGAACCTATTAAGAAAAGTAATTGAACCTATTAAAAATAAAAAATAAGAATAATACTGAAAATATCTGAGAAAACAGTGGAAATGTAGAAAAATGTAAAAGGTGCTTTGTTTCTTCCACGAAGCAAGAGAAGTCAAGCCGAGCAGCATCTCAACCTCCTCACCGTCCAATCCTTCCCTCCGGGGACCCTCCACACTTGGCCTGTGCTTGGCCATCTGGTTCTCATTTTGGTAGGAGACCCTCATCTCTCCCACCTCATAGTCTAGGCAGGCAGTTGCCACGGTTCTTGAACACACTGTGGCTTCCACAGGTTATGTATTCTCTGCCAGTCTCTTAATTGCTAGGATTTCAGGGGCAGGATAATTGTCTGAGAATTACACATCATAGACATGTATCAAAATATCACACTGTTCCCATAAATATGTGCAATTATTATGTGTCAATTAAAAATAACAATATTTTTAAAAAGAATTCCTGAGAAAGGGATTCTTAATTGTTTTGCATGTGACTCACAGGTCAGAAGACATTCACATGGGACCCACTCCCCTGGGCCAGGGGCCAAAAGAAATTCCTGGGCTGGTTAGCTCAAAGTCTGTGTTTTTTTTTTTACTCCTACTCAGCAAAACATATTGGAATTCAGCCAGAGAAGAGTGACTTCATGTGAAAATATAAGCCTGAATCTGCTTTAAATGTGTTTGTGTGTCTAATCCACATCCGAAATTTAGTCATTTATTATTTATCAGAATTATTTAAAACACTCCATCATGACCAACTAGTATGAACCCAGGTCCCCTGGCAAAACCCCATGATCATGATCTCTTGGGACTAGTTCAGTCCTTAGAGAAGTCCAGAGAATTGGCCCTGGGGCCTCCTACTCCTCTTGAGGAAGCCTAATGTCTAGGAGACACTTAGTGGCCATCCGAAGATGAAGCCTTTGAGGCAGAGTTCTCAAGAAATAAACCTAAGCACCGTACGAGTTTAATTTGACTTTAGGAAAAGAAGCCAGGTAGCTTTTCAGCTGCCTTTTAGCTGGGGACTCAGTGCTGAACCCACCGTTTCCTATTGACAGAAGTAACTCTATCAGAAAGGCAGTAATTATCAATAACTACCTGCTGTGATTATCAAGCACCTAGTGCACAACACAATTTATGAATTTAGGGCTAGGTGGGTATTTACCTGCAATAGTTACTGAAATCAGAATATGTTTACCATTGACTAAGCATCAGGAAAATGTAAACAAATGGCACGGGTTAGCACAAATCCTTACTTTTGGTAAATGCAGAATTTTTATTAAAAAGGTTTTTCCTAAAATTTAGCACTTTTCCTTATATCAGGTACTCAGAAAATTATTATATGCCTGTGACATAGGGAAGAAATATTACATAGAAAAATTGTATAACATCTTTTTTATACCCAGCTGTCCATCTCTTATGGATTTGGATATACTGTTCTTGATATCAGTTGGAATAGCATTTTTGTGTTCTTCTGATTTAACATGTTTAGCTTAAAAAAAAAAGAATATGTGAATTCTGTGGTCAACACTGGTAAGATAAAGGCATGGTGGGTGATGTGTTGGAACTTCAGTGTCACCTGGCTTTCCAGATTGCTCCACAAAATTACAAGTTGAATTTTAGAACGTACAGCTGTTTGATTACGTTTAACAGGAGAGTTCCACCATATTTTTCTGAGCAGGACACACTTAGATTTTTAGAGAATTATTGGCGTGGCCTAATGCTTTACCAGAGGGGTTGGCATGGAGAGTTCTGTCACATGCATATTTTGTTGTTGTTGTTGTTGTTTTGTTTTGTTTTGTTTTTTCAAGATGGAGTTTTGCTCTTGTCGCCCAGGCTAGAGTGCAATGGCATGATCTTGACTCACTGCAACCTCTGCCTCCATGTTCAAGTGATTCTCCTGCCTCAGTCTTCCGAGTAGCTGGGATTACAGGTGCCCACCACCATGCCCGGCTAATTTTTGTATTTTTAGTTGAGACAGGGTTTCACCATGTTGGCCAGGCTGGTCTCGAACTCCTGACCTCAGGTGATCTGCCTGCCTTGGCCTCCCGGAGTGCTGGGATTACAGACGTTAGCCATTGCGGCTGGCCACATTGCAGGTTATATGCACTTAAATCCCTATGTGGACTCGACTTCTGTATATGCGGACTTTTTATTAAATTTTCTGTACTCTACAAAGGCCATCTGGGACTGGAGGTGGGGAGTAATGCATTTGAAGAAAAACCAGTCATCCTACCTAAACATAAAACCAAATATCTAGCGTGTGTGGAAAAGCCGAACAAAACTATCTGAGTCCTTGATGTGCCCTGATTATGTCTCTCCCTTCCATTACAGGCTCAACATGGGAAAAGACATTCCGGCAGATCGGCTTTGAAAGGTAAGCAAGGGTTGGCATGTCTCCATTTTAGTTACTCTTGTCTTTTAAGTAATTTCTTCTAAGTAATTTATTGATTATAAATCAATAGTCCTGTCACCACCCTTTTGGTAACTGTATGACCTTGATCAAGTCGTCATTTTGCCCCTCCGAGCCTCAGTTTCTTTGTAGAGCATTACTTCATAAAGCCTTGCCTGCACACAGAGTGGAAATAAAGATAGAATGGGGCAATTGATGTGAAAACGCATCTTGAACTGTAAAACAGTACACAAAGTAAGTTACAGAATTAGAGAATCCCAGGAAATGGTTGACTCTCCCCTAGCTTCATCACCTCCTATGTCATAACCAATTCTACAGTTTTAGAACAGAAAAGTTTATATTTCTATTGATGTCTTCCCAATTATTAAAAATGTTAGATCTTATTAGCCTTAAGTGAAAACCTGAGATGATGTTTTTCTTAGCTAAAAGCATCTCCACACCAGCATCTCCCCAAAAGAAACAAAAATAGACTCATTAAAACATCAGAAAATGTGCTGGTAGGTCCATGCATTTTCTTTTCTTTTCCTTTCTTTTTCTTTTTTTCTTTCTTTTTTTTTAAATTTTGTTGAGACAGGGACTTACTCTGTTACCCAGGCTGGAGTGCACTGGCATGATCTCGGCTCACTGCAACCTCTGCCTCCTGGGTTCAAGTGATTGTCTTGCCTCAGCCTCCCAAGTAGCTGGGATCTCAGGCGCCCACCACCACACCCAGCTTATTTTCGTATTTTTAGTAGAGACAGGGTTTCACTATGTTGGCCAGACTGGTCTTGTACTCCTGACCTCAGGTGATCCGCCCAGCTCGGCCTCCCAGAGGGCTTGGGATGACAGGCGTGAGCCACTGCACCCGCTGGTCAATGCAGTTTCTAAACCACCTACCTTGGAATGAATGTTAGCATTTTGCACAGCTTTCTACCAGTGGCATTTAGCATCTTATCTCAAATTTTCAGTGGAAATATAGCTATTGAAAGAAAAAAAGTCATTTTAATTTCATTTTACTGTC